>NC_000009.12:101553885-101705400 GCF_000001405.40 Homo sapiens | reverse complement strand
GGAGGCGGGAGAGGTAATCTTTGCCTGGAGTTCCGCCGTTCTTCTTGGCGGTCGGCTTGGTTCAGACACCTCTTCCTCCTTCTCTGCGGCGCTGCCCTACTGTTCTCTGCGCTCTCTGCCTCCCTCTTCTGTTCTCTGCGGCTCTGTTCCTCTGCTCTTCTCAACATTCAGCCGCTTGTGTGTGTGCCCGCTAAGGTCTCAGGTTTATATGGGCACAGGATGGGGGTGGAGAGGCATGGTAGGCTAGAGTGGTCTTGGAAATGCAACTTTTGGGCACAAAAACAGGAGTGCGTGTTCTCATTTAGGTCTATGGGCACAGGCCCAAGGGTGGAACCCTTGCCAGGGACCTAGCCCTTCTCTACCCAGCATTTCCCTGCCCCCCCTTCCTTATCAAATGTATTATCTTATTAATATCTGCCTCCCTTTTGAGACTCAGGAAGACAGAGAACATGTCTGTTTTGCTCATTCCTGCTGCATTCCCAATACAGACGCTCCTCAACATACAAAAAGGTTACAACCCAATACACACACTATAAAATACACATACCATAAAAATACACACATCATAAAACATCTTAAATTAAATTAAAATATCTTAAATTAAATTAAAAATGCATTCAATACACCTAACCTACCAAACATCATTGCCTAGCCTAGCCCACGTTAAACATGCTCAGAACACTTCTATCAGCCTATAATTAGGCAAAATCCTCTGGAAAGATTGCAGAGTATTAACTGTTTACCCTCCTGATCGTGTGGCTGGACTGGGTGCTGCAGAGCTCACTGCTGTTGCCCAGCATGGCAAAAGAGTGGAGAGTATTACACCTCATATCACTATTGTGGGAAATGATCAAAATTCAAAATTCGAAGTATAGTTTCTACTGAATGTGTATTGCTTTTGCTACATGGTAAAATAAAAAAAACATTAAGTCAAATCATTCTAAGTTGAGAATTGTCTGTATATGTCACATTGCCTAGCACATTGTGGGGATTCAATGCATATTTTCAGAACAAATAAATAAATCTAAAATATATTGCCTAGAAACATGAGTTACCCTGGAAGTGAATATGACCTCAGACATCAAAGGATTGAGTTGGGCCTCTGTATAACATGACATGAAGACATGGAATGGACTAGCCCTATTTTACCAGGAATCCTAAGTAAGACTATTTTAGGAAACATGATTTGATCTACAGGATATCCAATTTTGCAGTAAAGAACTGTCCCATAATGATTTTTTTTTAATAACAGCTAAAACGTCTCATCTTTTGAAGACATTAACTAAAGCAGCAAGCTGCTTGGATATGATGATAATGGTTTCTAATGCTTAGTAAATACCGTTGTTTGCCATTATTACGCTCATTTTAAAGGAAGCCCTTTCGCTTGTGTTTAAACAAAAGAGGAATACAAAAATAAAGCCTCAAAGGAACTAAATTAGATAAAGATATTAGAGACCAAGATAGAGATAAGATCAAGATGGAGATGTTGATGAAGAGACAGTAGTGGAGGCAGAGGGAGTATCAGACTGGGATTGCTCGAGACAGAGGCAGCCAAAAAGACAGATTTCTACAGGTCAGCCAAAACGAATTAATAATAAACCCCAGAGTAACGATAATAAATAATAAGCCCCCAAAACAATTCCACAAGGACAATTTCTGAGAAATGCGTTATCAATCAAAATGTGAGCTCTTCAGTAGAAAGATAAATTTTAATGCATGATACAGAGACATCCTGAGTCAGTAAGTCAGCCACCAAATGCCACTGAACGTTTTCCTAGGTCCTGAGATTATAGTGAGGAACAAATGTCTGGACCCTCTAGGGACTTACAGTTTAGTAGTGAGGAATTGTTTAGCAAACTCATGAAGAACTAAGTAAGATAATTTCAGCTATTGACTGTGCTCTGAGGAAGATAAAATAGTGTCATAAAAAGAAAATATGCATTTGATGGTGGGTGGTGCTGTGAGGAGATTGCTAATGTCAGGGAGGACAGCTCTGAAATATGAGCTGAGACCTGAATGTGAAGAAAGAATCAGCCGCATAGTGATCTAGAGGAAGAAGGTTCCACTCAGATGGAGCAGCAACCACCAGGGTATGAGACAGGAACTAGCTTGAACCTCAAGGCTTTGGGACCACGTGGGTGGAATAAGTGAGGTGAGAACAGTAAGCAAGGCCAGATCATTTAGGGCAGAGAGTAAAGAGCTTGTATTTTGCTTTAGTTGCAATGAGGAAGCTATTGAAGTGTTTTAAGCAAAGGAAAAATGTGAATTTAGATTTTTTTCTAAAAATCACTCTGCCTGCTGTCTGTGTGTCAAACTAATTACTGAATAGGCAGTGGTGGAGGCAGGGATACCAGTGAGTCTGTCACAATAGTCTGTCACCGTAGACCAGGTGATAGACATGGAGGCTTACTGTACAAGCAAGGAGATGATGAAAGTGATTGAATTCAGGATATATTTTGGAGTGAATGGGACTAACTGATGGATTAAGGAGTGACAAGAAGAAAAAGAGAGATTAAAAGCTGATTTCTTCGTTTTTGGCCTGAGCAGTTGGTGTGAGTGATGGTGCAGTCATGGTGACTTGAGAAGGGCTTTGAGAGAAGTGAATTTGGCAGGGGTATCTAGAGTGGGGATAGAGAAAAGAAAGTAATACATTTGTCTGGACTTCTTAAGTTTCAGATGCCTAACAGCAACCCTAAAGGAGATATCAAGAATGGAGTCCAATATATAAGATCTCTGTATTGAAGAATAAGGGGTATAGATGATATCTAAATTTAGTGAGAGTGCAGATAAGAAGAGAGGCAAAGACAGTGGCCTGTGGCACACCAAACTTAGAGAAATGACAGACTGGGAAGAATCAACTGCTGAGATCAGAAAACAAGGCCTATGAGACTGAGAAGCCTAGAGGATGAGGTATTTCAAGAGGGAGTGAACAACTGTGCTGAAAGGTATGTAGAGGTGAGTCATATGTACACTGAAAATCAAGCTTTTCAGCATTGATCATTGATGATTGTTATAAAAGTTGTTTGGATGGATGGTGAGTTTCAAGGCCTGATTGGATAAGAAAATGTAAAGTGAATAAATAAAAAAATTTTTTTTTGGAGATTAGAGTCTCACTCTGTCAACCAGGCTGAGGTGCAGTGGGGTGATCTCAGCTCACTGCAACCTCTGCCTCCCAGGTTCAAGCAATTCTCGTGCCTCAGCCACCTGAGTAGCTGACATTACAGGCATATGCTACCACACCTGGCTAATTTTTGTATTTTTAGTAGAGACAGAGCTTCACCATGTTGGCCAGGCTGGTCTTGAACTCCTGGCCTCAAGTGATTCGCCCAATTTGGCCTCACAAGGTGCTGAGATTACAGGCGTTAGCCACCACGCCCAGCGAAGAAATGAAGATTTTAAGTATACACAAATCTCAGGCTTGTACTGAAAAAAAAAAATCTGTATGGAATAGAAGCTGAAGGAGGAAAGTAGATGATACTAAGAATATCTGTAAGCTGGTGGGAGATCTCAGGATAGAGAGAGACTGCTGATACAGATTCCAGAACAAGGTCATTGGGGAGGTAAGAGAGAGGAATGAAAAAACTCCTAATCATCTATATAATTGAAAGTTTGCAAAAATTTTCTCCTATTCTGTATGTTGTCTGTTTACTCTGTTGATAGTTTCTTTTGCTGTGCAGAAGCTCTTTGGCTTAATTAGGTCCCATTTGTCAATTTTTGCTTTCGTTGCAACTGCTTTCGGCATCTTCATCATGAAATCTTTGTCTGTGCCAATGTCCTGAATGGTATTGTCAAGGTTTTTTGTCTGTTTGTTTGTTTGTTTGTTTTCCTAGGGTTTTCGTAGTTTGGGGTTTTACAGTGAGGCTTTTAATCCATCTTGAGTTGATTTTTGTATATGGTGAAAGGTAGGGGCCCAGTTTCAATTTTCTGCAATGGCTAGGCATGGTCTCACTTACAAGTGGGAGCTAAATGATGAGACTACATGGACACATAGAGGGGAACAATACACACAGCAGCCTACTGGAGGGTGGGAGGAGGGAGAAGATCAGGATAAACAACTAATGGGTACTAGACTTAATACGTCGGTGATGAAATAATCTGTACAACAAACCCCCATGACATACGTTTACCTATGTAACAAATCTGCACATCCTGCACATGTAGCCCTGAACCTAAAAGTTAAAAGAAAGAAAGAAAGTTACCAGGCACTTCAGAAACTAATTCTGGGCCCACCTCACTTAGATTCATAGTAATCTGAGCTTTATTTCCCTGTGAAAAAAATAAGCATTTCCAACATATACCCTTAGTGGCAAATCTGGGGCAAGAAGAGGGGAGAAGTTTCGCGGTAGTTGTCCATGTTTCCTTCTCCCATCCTCCATGCCATGAGTAATTGTGTCTCTAACTCCAAGTAAACAGAGACCTAATTGCTTTCTCTTTTATGCAAAATACTAAGGTACTTTCTAGGATCCATAATGATAATAGATGTGTTATTTTAGCATTTAAAATCTTGATAAAACTTCTGACATCTTTCTTTGTCTTTTCCTTTCTCTTAACATTTTCTTCTTTATTTACTGTCATTTCTATTTTTACTTCATTAGGATACCATTCTATGTGGATTACTGAAATTTCAGTTATGTCTCCAGTTCTATAATGGTACCTCGCTTTAGATAGCAGATAAATAACTGAAAAGTTGACCCAATATTGATACATTCTTATATTGAATTATTTTAAATATATATCAGTGTTGAGCATTTAAACAAATTCTATTTTGAATAATTCATAATAATTGTATTATGAATAATTTATAAAGCACAATAAATATTTTCCACCCAACCATCTTTAGTATAAAGTAAATGAAGGACACACATTGAGTTTGCACATATCATGATTTGCCTGTATTTCCAGCCAGTGCCTCAGACATGTATACACTTGAGCAATTTTGTGAATTCTTTCAGCATTCAGGTGCCAGTTTTCTGATTGACATCAGAAAAGATCTGTGCCACCTGATAGAATACGATTTTATGGGAAAGCAAATCATAATTACTCTTGCCTCTAGGTAGAAACCATATTTGTCAACTTGGAAGGAAAATGACTCATAAAAAATAGACATACTCTTCAGCCAAAGGTCAGCCTTCTTCCTGTAAATCTAAACTACACATCACCATTTACCCATTTATTCATTCAATCAGCAAATCTCTTCTGTGAGTCTGTCATTTTCTGGACACTGTTATTTGGAATTTTACTATATAAAACAGCATCTCTGTCTTCTGAACAGTCCAGGGAAGGAGAGAGATGAGTAGACTAATAATGACTATAACATGTAATAAGTTATTGGGGGTTGTACAGAGGGTGATGGGGCAGAAGATGAAGAGAGACAGGTAATACACCTTGAGAATGAGGCAGGAAAGGGATGTTTAACCGCATAAGAAACCTGAACACAGCCTTGAAAGTTGACTGGGAGTTGACGATGCAAAAAAAAGAGGCAAAGCAAGTTCTGGGCAGAGAAAATGACTTACCTGTGGATGTAGAGGCAAGAGAACTTGGAGCATTTGGGGAATTCCAAGTTTTTTTGGAATGGCTTTGAAGGTCATCAGAAACTAAGATATATTTAGACAATTTAACAAACAGGACAAGAAACACCACTGTTGTTCTTCAAAGAAGATAAGCACAACAGCTAGAATACATGGGGATATATAACAGTCTGCTGTGATGGCTCATGCATAGTCTGGGAAGGGAGGCAAGAGATCCTGAGTCTTCAGGATCATCCATGACCCAGACAAGAAAGATATAAAATAAATCATCAGCATTATGAATTTAGTGTTTTGAGATGCTAGACTATGATATAAGGGCTGGTTAGCAATTCTCTCTTTATCCAGAAATACAGTCATGTGCTGCATAACATTCATGGACCACATATACAACAGTGATTCTATAAATTATAATGGAGTTGAAGAAAACCTATTACCAAGTATTTACTATACTGTTTATGGTTATTTTAGAGGTTATTCCTTCTACTTATTTTTTTTAAGTTAATTGTGAAACAACCTCAGGCAGGTCCTTCAGGAGGTATTCCAGAAGGCAGCATTTTTATCATGGGCAATGACAGCCCCATGCATTGTCATTGAAGACCTTCCAGTGGGAGAAGAGGTAGAGGTGGAAGTCAGTGATATGGATGATCCTGAACCTGTGTAGGCCTAGGCTAATATCTGTTCATATCTTTATTTTTAACAAAAAGTTTTAAAAAATAAAAACAAATTAATACAAAAAAACTTATAGAATAAGGATATAAAGGAAGAAAACATTTTTGTACAGCTCTACGATGTGTTTTATACTGTGTTATTTCAAGAGTCAAAAAGGTTTTTTAAAAATTAGAGTTACATTAAACTAAAGTTAATTTACTATTGAAGAAAGAAAACTTTCTAATAAATTTAGTGTAGGCCAGGCGCAGTGGCTCACACCTGTAATCCCAGCACTTTGGGAGACCAACGTGGGCAGATCATGAGGTCGGGAGATTGAGACCATCCTGGCTAACATGGTGAAACCCCATCTCTACTAAAAATACAAGAAATTAGCCAGGCGTGGTGGCTCGCACCTGTAGTCCCATCTACTTGGGAGGCTGAGGCAGAAGAATCGCTTGAACCCAGGAGCCGGAGGTTATAGTGAGACAAAGATCCCGCCACTGCACTCCAGCCTGGCTGAGAGAGTGAGACTCTGTCTCAAAAATACATAAATAAATAAACTTTGTGTAGCCTAAATGTACAGTGTTCAGATATGTTTAGATACCATTATGTTGTAATTGACTACAGTATTCAGCATAGTAACATGCTGTTCAAGTCTGCAGCCTAGGAGTAATAGGTTATACTATGTAGCCTAGGGGTGTAGTAGGTTATGCCATCTAGGCTTGTGTAAGTGCACGCTATGATGTTCATATGATGAAATTACCTAATGACAGTACCCTCATCGTTAAGTGACGCACGACTGTAATAAGGATCTCTCAAGGTCCCTGCTTTCTTTGTCAGTCTGTGCTCACTGGACTACTCTAGGAAATGTAATAATAGTCTTTGGAAATTCTTTCCATTTTAAATTCTAAAAGCTTTTGATGTAATATGCAAGCATCTCAAAGAAAATAACACCAATAGATGCTAAGTAATGCTAACAAAATGAGGATATTAAATAGCAAACAATTTCAGGCAGAAATAATTTCAGGATTCTTACAGTAAATCTTATGTAAACCCAGAAAATGTATTTGACTAGATTTGGACTTTTTTTGCATTAACTATATTAGTAATTAATGTTTCTGTCCTCATAAGACATGTGATTGTATGTTTGTCACAGTGGAGAAGAAAAATTAGTAACTTCATAAATCAGTGTGTTCTTTATTCCTCTCTTATAAATGGCAATTATGTGTGGCTTAAGCATTACAGAGAGGTGTTGGAGTGTGCATGTTTTAGCTAAGCCAGAATCTTTCCTTTAAAATTCAGGAGGTAAAATTAACCACAAGTATCATTTATACATATTAAAATTAAGTCATACTCATTAAAAATTATATTGAAGATGGATGATCTCAACTCAACAAATTATTAACCTTTATAATAGAAAGAGAAATGCCTCTAATTCACTCCTGCCCCTTAATTTGTGGCATTCTATAAACTGTACAAGAGTTTGATATAGGTGAGCTTTAAGTTCCCTTCCAAACCAAATGACAAAGTCATAAGTGCACTAATTGGTTTCTGGTGGACTGTTGAAACTAAATATTTCTGCCCTTTGTGATTATACTGGGCTTCAGTGGATGCAGGCAATGATTTGACAAGTGAGTTTACAACAAGGGCCAGATGAAACCCAAATGTTATATTTGAAAAGTAGCCAACCAGACATTTTTTTCATTTCTTATTCCGTAACAATGCTCACGTAGACCTTCCTGAAAGACACAGACCTGTTCATTTAGGATTCATGGTCCTGGGCCTGAGGTCATCAGAGCTGCTTGAAGAGCCTTTGAGTTTGATTACTAATTCATGGGAAAGTATTGCCTCTGTGACCAAAGACTTTAAGAACTAAATTCAACATTCTCAATGTCTCTTTACTTTCAACCATGATTTGAAAGGTACAAAGAGTTAACTATACTGATGTATTCCACAATTAAAGTGAAATAAAATGTCATTGCAGCAAAGTGTAATCATAATTAATAGATCACAAGTTTTGAAATAAGGTGTTAAAATAGAAATGTATTGAGATACTGCTTAATGTTATACTAATACTATTTCTAGTGTTAAGCTCGTCAATGTCAGGTAGCAAGCAATGAATGTGAATCAATAAAAAGTGTTTGAATTCTCAAATGAAATAAGCCATTATACAGTAAAGCTGATTTAATAATTATGAAATTATTCTGAAGTGATAAACCAATATATATAAAAGGCATATTACATCACAATTAGTTGAACTGTGATTTTGACATACAAAACATCCTTATATCAATGTTTTAAATGTCTTGAGAGTATGGAATTGAGAGAAAAAGTTTATGTCAACTATGGTATCAGTTCTAGAGGGTCTTTAAAATAAAAATAATCAGCGTTTAGCTGAGTTTTCATTCTTAATGCAATAAAGCAAATTAGCATGTGACATATGCCATCTCTTAATAATAGTTTCAGGCTGCATTGACATAAAGTAATCAAATTTCTATAGGGAATTTAACTTGCATGCTAGACAGTTTAATTATCTGGTGCATATTTCAATAGTTCCCATTATAAGAAAATATGTCCAAGTTTGTCACAGTGAATGTCTGTAACAATGATGTTAATATTCAATAAATTTTAATTATCTTGTAAATCATCTGCCTGTGTATGTTCCTTCAGATGTTACTTAATTTGACCAAAACCAAGGTGGTGAATTAGGAACTAAAATCAGTCCTAGAGCAACATCTTTATTCCAAAAGTTCTTAAAATTCAGCAAATAATCTTACTCTTTATGATATACAGATTAAGAAGTTGGCATCAGATTTGAAAATTATATCTAGCTTTAACATCCTACTGCAGAAATGCCTCTTTCATCCCTGACTGGGTTATTGATTCCACTATTCCTACTGTCCAGGAAACAGATAAGCAAATGCATTATGTCTTCTATTTTTATAATATTCTCCACTTCATAAAGCACTTTCACATGCATAATATCATGTGGTCCCCACATCTCTCTGAAGTAGTTGTTTGACAATTAGTATTATTCCCCTTTCAAAGTTGAAAAATGCAAGTCCAAGTTCCTGACAAGAGTCCGGATCTCTAATCCGGTCCTTACCCTCCTCAGTGCTGCTAATGCTGGTCTATTTCGCCTATGAGATAGTCTCTGATGTATTTTACTCTCATGAAATGAAATTGTAACATGCTAGGTAGGCTTTCTCTTTAGCTCAAAGCATATTAAAAGAGAGTGCAAGGGAGTAATGAAGGTAGGCACAGTGACATAGCAAAAGGGATAGCAAGTACCTAACACTGGCAAGAAAGAGAGAAAATGCATTTTCTAAAGAGGCTCGAGAGCTCCAGCATTTCCAAAAGCTTGGCTCCACTTGATTCAGTCAACATGGAAACCAGTTGTCTCTGTAGCCTCTGAGCACATTATGGTCTGGCTTCCAGGCATAATGACTGGTGTTGACATCAGAATACTACGAGTCATTGGGAAAGGATCAATTACGTCAGCACAAAGAAGTTTGCTAATGATAATTAACAATAGTAATAATAAGGCTAATATTTATCAAGCAGTTACTACGTGTCAGGCATGTGATGAAGCTTCCTTAATTGTCAGGTTCTGCTGTCACATTTCCAGCCACCTCCTCTCTTTCCACTCATCTATGGTCCTTTGACCTCCACCTGCGGACTTGGTCTTGCTCTAGTAACCAGGGCTAGTCTAAAATGTAGGCTGGAATGAAGATATTTGTCTCAAATCTAAAACTCAAAAATTACATCACCATTCCTTTTAGACTGGCTCAAACTGGGGGCCTTATTTCTTGTCTGCTACTGTCTTATTCCTAATCTATTCCTCAATTTGTTTCTTGGTGCTGATAATACTGCCCCCTAGATTTTAAAATCCTGAAAGAAAAGACCGTATTGATTATTTTCACTACTGTAGTCTCAGCAATCAGTAGCCAGTGCCTGACACAAAATAGGTACTCAAGTGCTTGTTAAATGAACTGAATGCACCACCACTCTAGCTCTTGCACATCAGGTCTCTTAGTGTAAACTTCCTAATCTCAACATGGTCACCATCATTATAAACTAACACTTTCTGGGTATGACTGTACTGATGCTTTGCATACATGCTATTCAATCTTTACAAAAGTTATAAGGTAAACAGTACCATTTTCATTACGCAAAAGAGGAAAATGGTTTTCACAAGGTCTCACATATATAATTGGTAAATCGAAGAACAATAATTCAAATGAAGATGTGAGTGACTCCAAATAAAGCCACCTCTTTCTAGACGCTCCTGAAGATTGCAGTGACTCTCTGAAGTTCTGACCAAGGTTTTGGATTTCATTGCTTACTAATAGTCTTTCTTTATGTCAAATGCCCACATTTCTAATGATTATCTGTTCTTGGATTACCCTTCCCCATGTTGGAACATCTTGCCTGAACAGACTGCCCTCCTAAGTCACCATATGACTAAATATCTTCTGTAGCCATGCCCTTTGATCAAAGCTCTCTCATTCCCAAGTATGTTGGTGGCATTTTTTAAGCCCCAAAAGTTGTATTTGTGTGGGGCATAATTTATATGAGTGGGCTGGGAGAATAGGACCCAGAGAATGAGTGAGTCAAATGCTTTCAAGATTACCAAGGTTTGGGTGAGAGAAACAAAGTGTAACCATACTGAACAAAAGGCAGAAATGGGATGATGTGTAGATGAATGAGTTGGGTATCAATAATTAGGTGGAATTATCATGGGAAAAAAGTCCATGATTAGAAGCTTGGTGCAGGTAGCTTGAGTGATTACCAACAATCAACCTGTTATGCCCGACACTCCTTTCTGTAAATCATCCTGGGGCTCAGAAGAATTGGTTAGCTCAAAGAATGTAATATGCATGCTCCTGCTATTTCTTCTGCCTGAAGACATGCAATTCTTTACCCATAGCCTGGTATAAAATGGACTTTAAAATAATTTGTTGTATGAATAAATAAGCTGGCTGTCTTTGAAGACAGTGGTGTTGTGCATGCCAACACTTTCTTCTAATTGTGTATACTCTATTTTAAGAAGTGGGCCCTGTTCCAGATCACCAAACCTTTCAGCCTTTCCAACACTGCTGCAATGAAATAGACCATACCTAGCATTGCCAGCAATATTATGTCAACTGCACCATGCAGGGATAATCCTGCCTTCTGAAACATTCATTATATTGTACTGCTCTGTTATATATTCTTTAATATATCAGCCACTCAAAAATCCTGAGAGATATGTGCTAAGATCTTTGTTGACATCCCCATATGTGGTGTTGAACATAGTCTAGAATATAATTTTGACCATGAAATTCAGTAGAATTGAAATGAAAACTTTAGGTGAGCTTTTCCAAACTTGCTTACTCTACCAAACACAAAACTGATGTCATTAATTATGCAACTATCATTCTTTTTTAAAGTGTTGTTCATGAAGAAATACAAGTTTCATCATTTCACAAGAATTGCTACATATGGGAGGATGAGCGAAGAAAACAGCTGGGAAGCCATGTGCACACTGGGCAGCAGGCTGGAGACTCCCTGACTCCCATGGCCCAGAAACACAGGGAATGTCATTCTAACTCATGCCTCAGACACCTTACAAGTGGCTTTATTCCATGGGCCTTTAGGATTACTGGCAAATAATTGGAAATTATTAAATCTACAAATGTCAAGGATCTACTGCACATGTTGCTTTTATCAAGTAGAGGGAACAGTATAGAATAATAGGTAAAAGCACAGGCTTTTGAGTCCAACAAATTGTGGTTTTGAATTCAGGCTCTATTTTTTTTTTCTTTTAGACAGAGTCTCACTCTGCACCCAGGCTGAAGTGCAGTGGCACAATCTTGACTCACTGCAACCTCTGCCTCCAGACTCAAGCAACTCTCGTTCCTCAGTTTCCTGAGTAGCTGGGATTACAGGCACGTGTGACCCCTCCGTGCAATATATATATATATATATATATATATATTTTAGCTGAGATGGGGTTTCACCATCTTAGCCAGGCTGGTCTCAAACTCATGACCTCAGGTGATCTACCACCTCAGCCTCCCAAAGCACTGGAATTAAAGGCATGAGCCACTACACCTGGCCCAAGCTCTATTTCTTAGTAGCTGTGCCACCTTGGGAAAATTACTCACTTTTTCTGAACCTTGATTTTGTCTTCTATTAAAGGGGGATGATCATTGCAGTCACCTCATGAGGCCATTGTGAGGATGAAATAAAATAATATGCATAAGGCACTAGGGACATCAGTAGGTATTAGCTCTTCATTTGTATAATTATTATTAAATTACAATTTCTGGGCAGGGACTACACCTTATGCTTGTCTGTGTCCTTAATGTAACCATAAGAATAGTTAATTTATTTAAAAGCCTGGGCTGCTAAAGGAACAATCTTTAATTTTCAGAAGAAAAAGTCTTCTGTATAATATAGGTCAAATGAGATGTGAGATAATGAGAAACAGAAAACCTCCTGCAGCCTCTTTGGCTGAGGAGAAGCGATAGCTGTGTAGAAAGCCTGTTCTGAGCCTCTCAAATGTATTTAGTAATCAGCAGACGGATGAAAGGAAGGAAATTTCATCTCTGGTAAAAGCAGTGGAAACATTATGTTCACTTGAGCTTTTTGGGCTTTGACCTAGCTCATTTGGTTCCCCTTGCCCAGGAAAGAGCTGAGAGAATTGCATCTTTTCTCTTCTCTTAAACCCAGCCCCATCACCTCTTTTATTCAGTCAGGGAATATCTCAAAGCTCTGTGGCAAACTCTTTCCTGCAGGCAATCCTGTTTTTGAAACTCTTACTAATCCACAAACTAGCAGAATCTGTGCTCTCTGAGAGAACAAAGACTGATGAGGGATCTCCAGGAGTTGGCACCAAGAATTCCTTAACTTGCATGCTGACTGGTACTGGAGCTTGTTACTAAAGAAAGAAGAGTTGGGGGTGTGGGGAGGACTCTACTGTAAACATAGTATCTCCCAAATAAACAGCCTCTCCCAATATGTTACAGAGCACTTCTGTTTTCCTGCTGAGAAGTTGGTGTAATTTATGTTTGTAAAAGATATCTATTGCTGAGACCATTGTATGAAAATAGACAAGAAAAAGGAGAAGGAGCAAAAGCAAAGAAAAATACTGTATTGCAGTCAGTCACTTCCAACAGTGACTAAACTCTGTAAGTCAATTGTAACAACTACTACTTATGGGCCCTCACTCTGCGCCAGGCACTTTCCATGCATTCTCACATTCTTACATTTAATTCTCAAAATGAATCCATAAGTTAGGAAGTAGCATTGTCCTCATTTTAGAGATGAGGGAGGTATGACTCAGAGATACTAAATGACTTACAAAAGGCCACATGGTGCATAAATCATGGAGACAGAACTTAAGCATAGGTTGCCCTGACTACTAAGTCCTAACCTCTATACTGCTTCTCAAAAGAGGACAGAAAAGCCCAACTGCTGAAGAAGACAGTGGCCCCACCAGCAAGGAAAACTTAGAACTTAAGGACACTGTAGAACCTGCTGAAGAGGACAATGCAGAATCGCACAGGAAATATAGAAGCAGATGGTGGCTCCAACCATTTATCTGAGACTAGGAAGACAGTACCCAGTCAAAGAAGAATGGATGGTCAAAATGAGACTACATTTTTAGTTAAATGTGTTTACTTTTATAAATCATTATATATATTTACCTATATAGTGATCAATTGTTTTCAAATACATCTCGTTTTTTTCTTAAGTCCCAATTAAAGAACGCTTGTATAGTACAAATACTCGTCTCTCCCAACCCCTACAAATCATAATTACTAAATTAATATTTCCTAGTTTCTTCTTCCTCTCCTAGTTTTGCTGGACCCTATTATTTCATTTACAGTAATTTTCATGACTTCTAGTTATAGGAAGTGTTTATTCATATAGTTAGTTACATATTGTCTATCTCTCATCCACCATAGAGACAACAGGAAATGCCATGCAGAGGTCATGGCTCAAGGTAGGAGCTTAAAATTATTTTTCATGATTGAATAAGTGTTCAGTAAAGGCTTCTATTTCCTTATTGACTAGTAAATGTTTTATACATTTGGTGAACATTAACTCTTTGTCTACCCAATTTATTACTAATATTCTCTTGTTTTTCATGTTCCTTTATTTTTTATGATAGGTGTTTAAAACTAAAAATACGGTGTGCTGTGATAATTCAATGTTTTCCTTTTATTATTGTAATTTCTGATACATATTTACCTTTTGGTCTATCTTTTAATGATTTGATATTGTACTTTTAGCTCTTTAATGGCCTGGAACATATTTTTAATATATGATGTAATGAGAAATTTAATTGTTATTTTTCTAACTAATCTATTTTCTCAAATTCTAATATCCTATTTCCTTCCCTATTTCTTTGTTATTTTAATTTATAACACAGTAATTTAATACTCCATTAGTACCTATTAGTACCTATTAGTGCTTCCCTGTTTTAATTATTATTGCTTTATAAAAATGACATTTTCTAATGTGTTCTAATATCCTCCAAAGCAAGGCCTATCATTTTCTTTTTCCAAATATTTTTACCACTCTTGCCTGATTTTTCTGTATATGGAACTTTAATATTTACAGTCTGATCCATAGCGGGTTAAGCAATCTTCTCCCACACCACTGAATGATTCTTTGATGCTTTGAACCAACTTCTTGGTGACTCCTCTCTCCCTGCAGCTCTGCACTTACTTGGGATTTCATTCTACGAGTGCATGGCAGCACACACATTCCCCAGCCATATTTCCTGCCCTATTCTTTTGGAAATTTCAGGCTCTGAAACAATGTCTAACCAGATTATGATGGAACAAAACCTGCAAAATTAATGGAGTAGAGTGGAGTTTCATCTCCACTAGAAATGAAGATTCAATTCAAAGTGTAGAAAAATTACATTTTAAAATCTTTTAAATTACCTATTTAGCTTGACATATATGGTTTTGTGTATACAATATGAAAAATAATATAGCTACATTAAAGTATGTGATAATATAAATAATATACCATAATATAATAAGTAGCACACTTATTTAAGGGAATGAGAATTATCAGTACTATTTAAATTCATATTTTCTCCCTCCCACCTCTCTCTTCTGAGCCTGTTTATTTTAATATAGATAAATTGAATGTACCTATAAGGCAGTTTCACTCTATCTGCATGATAGAGACAGGCTTCCTATTTCTTGAGTTGTTCTGTTTCTGGATCTCTGATTTAGGAGAAAAACAATATGGAAATTACTTTTAAAATCTTTATATCTTCTTTCAGGCCATGAGCTTGCTCTTTTGCAAACAACAAACCATATGTAAGACACAGATTTTCCTTTTCAATTTTACTCAATAGGTCTTGTTTAATTTTTGTCCTGGATTTTGACAAAAATTTTACTATCAGGCTTGAATTTTAGTGTTATAAGTTTTCATAATCTTTGTGTGTGTGTGTGTGTGTGTGTGTGTGTGTATGTGTGTGTGTGCATGTGTATGCATGTGCATATGTGTGTGCCTTTGTCCTTATATGGGGAGAAATTGGAAAACACTGCATCTGAGGCTGCTAAATCAATAATATCTCATTAGATGCTTCTAAACTATCATTTAATAATTTTCTGAAGAAATATGTCTCAAGTTTGTGTAAGGATTAATTTCAACATCTGGAATTTCTCAGTAGAATTGTTTGTAGGGGTGAGTGTGATTATATGAATTAATCATTATCCATTGTAGGGGTCTTCATTTCACTCCCATGTCTCTCTCTCTCATGCCTATTGGATTTGTTTCTCTGTCTAATACTAAATGCTCAATATGATTAGCTAATTCAACTTCCTATTTAGCAAGAAAGCAACAATTTCATCCGTGACTCTTAAGCCATATTATTGATTTTTAAATCTGTCCTATGGGTGATTCGGAGGTTATGGTGCAGGAGAATGATATGGTCATATTTGTATTTTAGGAAGAAAACTGGCAACAGAATAGGGAGCTGAAGCCAAGAAAACACTTAGGAATAATTTGTTCCTGCTAGCTAAATGTGGAGCTTGCCTTCCATTGCTTTTTGCTTCTAAAAGAGGATTAAGACAGAGGAGGAAATAAAAAGGAAGAAGGAAAGGAAGAAAGCTAAAAGAGGAGGGCAAAAGAAAACACAGGAGCAATTTATACAAATCAAAATGAGGAGTGAGGAAATGAAGCTTCCATTTCTCTCACCTCAAGATCCTGCTGGCAGCTCAAGCCTGGACACCCAGAGCTACCTATTGGATCCTGTCTCCTGGTTTTTGAGACCTTTCTCTCTTTTGCCTCTCACATCTGATCTTGTCACTAAATCCTTTTTATTTTATTCTATTCTATTTTTGAGACAGAGTCTCACTGTGTTGCCCAGGCTGGAGTACAGTGGTGCAATTTTGGCTCACTGCAACCTCCATCTCCCAGGTTCAAGCTATTTCTGGCTAATTTTTGTATTTTTAGTAGAGACGGGGTTTCACCATAACAGCCAGGCTGGTCTCGAAATCCTGACCTCAAGTGATCCTGCCTCGGCCTCCCAAAGTGCTAGGAGTACAGGCACAAGCCACCGTGCCTGGCCAATCCTTTTTAATTTTAAAAAGACCATTTTTCATTACCCTCCCTACCATGAACAGCAGTAGAACACTTAGCATGTAATCAAGATCTTGAGGGGCTTCTAATTCCCCATCCCTGTTGAATGCTTCCCAGTGATGATTTTTCCAACGCTCTGTTTTTATCATTACAAGCTTTGCTCAAAAGCTTAATTTGGAAAGACAAAAGACAAATTCTCAGAACAAATTTTAAGAATAAATTTTAAGACTCCATCCTACCTACCATCATGAGTAGCTACAGTCATAGTTTTCCTCCTGTAAACCTCTGTGGAGTCCTCACTTTTTATTCTACATGTATCAAAGTCATTTAAATCCTTCAGAGAGTTTAAAGTGCAGCATAAATTCTATTTCCTGTTACACATTTTTTGGTACGTAGGGACAGGCCACACTTCTTCGTTTCATACAAGGGCTTGAGATTTTACTGAGAAAGGCTTCCTCATTTCTTAATGCATATTATTGAATGTTCAGCAAGCTCTTAAAAGCAATCCAATAGTTCCCATAATAAACATAGTTAATTCCATCAATATTTATTGTGCCCCTAACGTATATAAGACATTGTGCTAAACATTGTCAGGATGTCAGATGCTTGCTCTTGAGGACAACAATTAACAAATGTATTCATTGGAAGACTATTTCCACTTCAATTATATGACTGCTAATTTGTGACTTTTCAAATAAGTTTCTCTTCTTCCATGAAGTTTGTGAATTCCACAAGTAGATAAAATTGTGATACAAGTTACATAAGTGTGTTTAATGGCACAGATTTCACTTTTCACAGCAAGAATCCAGGTTCAGAAGATACAGAAAAGTAATCAAGCCTTTAACATTGCACTACACACTTAGTCTTGATGTATGTATTGAAAATTATTCTTTACTTATTAGAAGTGTCTTCCTCAAGGGGCTGGAAGTTTAGGAAACTATGATGCATCCATCTTTCACATCATCCTTATAAAAATACCTGCATTTTGCTAAGATTTCCTGCCATTAATTTTAAAAAGAAACAAAAGTAATTTCTTCTCCTTATTGCGTATGAGATCAAAGTTTAACAAATGAGGTCTTAATAGCAATACCAAGAAATGGGAAGCCATAAATGAGACTGCCTATATGGCAGTAGACAAGCTTGACAAAACTCCTCAACCAAATGTATGATTGTGTTACTTCTGATATTCACACCAAGAACCATCCACCCTCTGGTACTCTTAGCAAAAATTATTAGGAAATCAGTTGTTAGGAATCAATAGTTCCATTAGACAGGAAGCATAGTTTTCCAAACTATGGGAATTTTATCCCAGAACTATGTATCACAGTGAAATTAAAGGATTAAGCCTCATAAGAAAGCAAAAGTACCCTATGTTAAAGTCTTTGGCCAATGCTTTCTAATTCTTCTTTTTCATATCTTTAAATACAGAATCCCCTTCACCTACAACTGAGTTTAGAAAATTCATTAAGTTCTGATGCTGATGTCACTGTCTCAATCCTGACCATGAACAACTGGTACAATTTTAGCTTGTTGCTGTGCCAGGAAGACTGGAACATCACCGACTTCCTCCTCCTTACCCAGAATAATTCCAAGTTCCACCTTGGTTCTATCATCAACATCACCGCTAACCTCCCCTCCACCCAGGACCTCTTGAGCTTCCTACAGATCCAGCTTGAGAGTATTAAGAACAGCACACCCACAGTGGTGATGTTTGGCTGCGACATGGAAAGTATCCGGCGGATTTTCGAAATTACAACCCAGTTTGGGGTCATGCCCCCTGAACTTCGTTGGGTGCTGGGAGATTCCCAGAATGTGGAGGAACTGAGGACAGAGGGTCTGCCCTTAGGGCTCATTGCTCATGGAAAAACAACACAGTCTGTCTTTGAGCACTACGTACAAGATGCTATGGAGCTGGTCGCAAGAGCTGTAGCCACAGCCACCATGATCCAACCAGAACTTGCTCTCATTCCCAGCACGATGAACTGCATGGAGGTGGAAACTACAAATCTCACTTCAGGACAATATTTATCAAGGTAGGATGCAAGGTCTCGGTTATATCCCCATTCATAGGGCCATGACAGAGAGTAAAATTCCCCTATCTGTCCGCTTTGCAGAAATCTTGACTCTGAGTAGCTTTAAACTTTAATAATATTTCTTAGAGGATTTCTGGTTATATAGGCTAGTATTTCATGATCTGCTATCTGTAATTTGATCTATAAACTTGTAAGTACATGGTATAGTGGGAGTGCTCAATCCTGCCTTTAAACCTTGGTTTAGCTTCTTACTAGCTGTTGTGTTCTTGGAAAGTTATTTAAAAGCTCCAAGCCTCAGTTTTCTAACTAGCAAAATAGAATAATGAATAGCTTGGTATAGTATAATAAAGATACCATGAAATTTATATATGAAAAGTACCTAATACCATGCTTAGCTTATAGTAGATGCAAAATAAATGTTTCTTTTCCTACCCACTCTTTTCCATATCAATAAAATTAATCAAGTTTCTCTAAATCTATACAAAGAAAAAATTAGTCAAGCAAGAAATGGACTTTTCTCCCTCCTCCCTGGCCTTGATGCTTAAGACAGTATAGAGTAGTAAAGGCAAAGACTCTTGAACTCAAGTTCAGACCGTCTGAACTTGAAGTTTAGCACTGCCACTTACTACTTGAGTGACTTAATCAAGTTACTTAACTTCTCTGAGCCTTAATTTCCTTTGTTCTATATTCATTTATGTAAAATGGATATAAGAGTAGATCCTATTACCCATAGAATCATTGTGATTGATGATTGATAGATAGATAGAGATAATAGATGATAGATTGGTAGTAGACAAACAGGATACATTAATAGAACTAAGAGTTCCATAAGAGTATTATATATATATAAAATATTATTTATTTGTTTATACATTCATAATTATATTTGTTTATTTTTAAATTAAATACATTTCTGCTCCGGTTCCTCAATATGATTCAGAAACTAGAACGAAAATGTCCATTTAAAATAGAGAACAACACATCATATGGAAATGGTTTTGGTGATTCCCGGGAAAGGGGGAATATCCTTAAAGGATATTTCATTAGGGCTTAGACTTTCTTCTGAAAAAGGACCACCTGTAGTCAGAGAGGCCAAGTCAGAAGATTATTATTTCTTCAAAGACGAATGTTTCCCTGTAGACTAGGCCCTGTTTTTAGGCCATCCTGGAACAGTGGTATCTGACTATGTTGAGGACTACAAGGCAAACTCATAACTTCTTACCTTTAAAAAAGACATGATAATGGGCAACACAGCGAGACTCCGTCTCAAAAAAAAAAAAAAAAAAAGACATGATAAAAGGTCAAGGGGTGCAAATAGTTGTACATTTAATTTTACATATATATATGTATGTATAAATTGAGCACCTACTATGTACAAGGCAATATGCCAAATGCCATATGTAAGGGAAAAGTGAAAGACTGAACACAACCTGTAAACTCCTTAAAGAATGTTGTTAATAAAATTTTTCAAATATATTTACTACAAATCTATTAGTAATAAAATTAGATGTTCTATCATCATCTGAACTTTCCCTTTTTCCCATATTATAATTTCCATAAGATTAAAATCCATGCATATTTTATTTTATAGCCACTCTCCAGATTTAATCTACTGTTGGCAAGCTCGCACATAATTAAGGTTCAGAATTTTATCTAAGACAAGAAACATTCTCCTTTACAACAAAAATACAAGCAAAGTTTTGATTTATAATTTCAAATAGTCATTGTTTTGGAAGGACAGTCATAAACAGCAGCCAGGAAAAACCACTTATGAAAACTACATTGAGTTCCTTAGCATCTTTTTGTCTCATGTAAAAAGGAGAATGCAAGAAAAGTGATTCTGTTTGAATCCTAAAAACGTTTAGAAACTACAGAGAAGAATATTTGTTGACTTAAGTTGTATATACCTTAGGGTCTCATTTTACCAAGATCAGACTGATCTTTCTGGCTCCTCAAGATTTAATTTATATTAAAATTATGTTCTTCCTTCCACAAGGATCCCATGGCATTTTGTATATAAAATTACATAGTGGTACTTGGCCCATTCTATCCTCATTATTTGTCTGTGAATCTGAGTTCTGAGCTAGAATATAAATTCTGTTAAGTGGAGACGCTATTATTGAGCCTTATCCAATGCCTAGCCTATAGTAGGCACTTAATAGGTATTTATTGAAATTGACATAGAGGCCAGGGGCGGTGGCTCACGCCTGTAATCCCAGCACTTTGGGAGGCCGAGGTGGGCGGATCACGAGGTCAAGAGATCAGACCATCCTGGCCAATATGGTGAAACCCCGTCTGCACAAAAAAAAAAAAAAAAAAAAAAAATTAGCTAAGCATGCTGGCACCGCGACTGTAGTCCCAGCTACGTGGGAGGCTGATGCAGGAGAATCGCTTGAACCTGGGAGGCAGAGGTTGCAGTGAGCCGAGATCGTGCCACTGCACTCCAGCCTGGCGAGACTCCGTCACAAAAAAAAAAAGAAAGAAAGAAAGAAAGAAAGAAAAAGACAGGAAGAAGGAAAGGAAGGGGGAGGGAAGGGAAGGGGAGGGCAGGGGATTGACATAGAAAGAAAGAAAAGTAACTTTCTGTTTTATTTACATCCTACATTATCTGTTGCTGTAGAAGAAATGGATAGATGGTAGATATTGTCTAAATTAAGTACTTTTTAAATTTACATAAATACTGGATGATTTCTGTTTGGTTTTCTTTCTCTCTCGCTCTCTCTCTCTCTCTCTCTCTCTCTCTCTCTCACTGTCTCTCTCTCTCTCTCCTTATGGTGGGATGTTAGGTTAGTATATAACCTCTGCCCTCGTGGCTATTTATTCCACAAACTTTGAAGCTGTAAAAGAAGATTGTGAGGTTTGAAGCCCAGCAGTAATTTACACCGGGTCAGTGACAATATTTTCATCATGATGAATGTGTTTGAGAAATGAACCCAAAGAACTTCAGGAAGTATACCTGAGACTTTTTAAACTCCTGAGGGATACAGGAAAAGAGAAAGTTTGAAAAGTATTCAGGAACAAGTCAAGGGAAATGAGCAAAACCCAGGAAGGAGACTTTATAATGAATAACTGAAAAGCTGCCTTAAGCCATAAAACATCTGTGGATTTTCCATCATCCTTATTTATTTTGTTTAATACAGTCTTTCAGAAAGTAAGTTATTCTCAGTCCATAAGTCACATCTGCATACAGTAATTTTCTTAATTGTTCTTAAATTTTGTAAGGCTGCCCCCACTTCTTCACTGCATAATGAAAGTCGGGAGGATAATGAGCCATGAATAGTGGATGTCAGAGTTACGCAAGTTTTCATTTCTCACACAGTCATTTTCAGTTTGGGCTGACAGAACTGTTAACATCTTAAAATGTTAATGAAATCACCAAAAACATGGCATTTTCAGCTAGGCTTTCAGATTAGAAAAGTCATTTCTCATGGCAGACTACACACACATAATTACAGGTATTAGAGATTTTATTCTTCCTAGGTCCCCACATGCCAGAGCAAATGTCCATAATAACTAAATGTAGACAAAACATTCAGGGACCAAGTTCATAGCATGATCTTCAACAATCTTCAACAATATATTTACAAGTTTTGTTTTGTTTTGTTTTTGTTTTTGAGACGGAGTCTTTCTCTGTCGCCCAGGCTGGAGTGCGGTGGCGCAATCTCGGCTCACTGCAAGCTCCGCCTCCCTGGTTCACGCCATTCTCCTGCCTCAGCCTCCCGAGTAGCTGGGACTACAGGCGCCCGCCACCACGCCTGGCTAATTTTTTGTATTTTTAGTAGAGACGGGGTTTCACCGTGTTAGCCAGGATGGTCTCGATCTCCTGACCTCATGATCCGCCCGCCTCGGCCTCCCGAAGTGCTGGGATTACAGGCGTGAGCCACCACGCCCAGCTACAAGTTGTTTTTTTAAATGTTAGTTAATTGGAGCAATTATTGGTGGAATATTATTTTGAGAATACCTTTATAAGCGCATTTGAATGGATGTTTTTGCCTAGCCAATGACCATGTGTTGAACTATGGTCGGGTAGACAAAATGAAGACTTGAATTCTGACATTTAGGAGCTGACAGTCTAGTGAATGAGGTCGAAATGTAAGTAAATGGTTATAAAACAATGGGATGTGTGATTTATAAGAATAGGGATATATTCCAGAGAAATGCAAATCAAAACCACTATGAGATACCATCTCACACCAGTTAGAATGGCAATCATTAAAAAGTCAGGAAACAACAGGTGCTGGAGAGGATGCGGAGAAATAGGAACACTTTTACACTGTTGGTGGGACTGTAAACTAGTTCAACCATTGTGGAAGTCAGTGTGGCGATTCCTCAGGGATCTAGAACTAGAAATACCACTTGACCCAGCCATCCCATTACTGGGTATATACCCAAATGAGTATAAATCATGCTGCTATAAAGACACATGCACACGTATGTTTATTGCGGCACTATTCACAATAGCAAAGACTTGGAACCAACCCAAATGTCCAACAATGATAGACTGGATTAAGAAAATGTGGCACATATACACCATGGAATACTATGCAGCCATAAAAAATGATGAGTTCATATCCTTTGTAGGGACATGGATGAAATTGGAAACCATCATTCTCAGTAAACTATCGCAAGAACAAAAAACCAAACACTGCATATTCTCACTCATAGGTGGGAATTGCACAATGAGATCACATGGACACAGGAAGGGGAATATCACACTCTGGGGACTGTGGTGGGGTCGGGGGAGGGGGGAGGGATAGCATTGGGAGATATACCTAATGCTAGATGACACATTAGTGGGTGCAGCGCACCAGCATGGCACATGTATACATATGTAACTAACCTGCACAATGTGCACATGTACCCTAAAACTTAGAGTATAATAAAAAAAAAAAAAAAAAAAGAATAGGGATATATTCAGATATACAGAGGGAAATAATGAACTCTTCTCAGATATTTGGTGATGAGGGAAAAACACTGGACTTGGATCCTGTAAATGAAAAGGGGTTTTAGGTTTGGAACAAATTCACAGACAAAGGAAATGACATATGCAAATTCACCAAGACCTGAAAGATAAATTTAGTATGGCTGGAGCATTAATTGCATATGAAAAGGATTTGAGATGATTCTGGAAAAGTAGTCAACTTGATAACATACCACACAGAGTTTGTATGCCAAGCTAAGGCATTTGCATTTTATATGCAGAGCGGATGTCAACTGAATGGCAGAACATTAGCCCTGACATATTTATAAAAATCATAATCCTGTAACAAATTAACCAAATAAAGTAATACAGTATAAAAGCTTTGCAAGTAATTTTTTTTAAACATTAGGATATAAACATTGTTTTTATTTCTCAAAATTGCTTTTAGCCTTGCCCACATTTACTCCCTTGCTGCATTCTGAACATCGGACTCTGGGGAAAGTGAATAGGAGTTTGAGAATTTACCTGCTGTTCCCAGGATTATGATTTGCCCATGCTTGCCTAAAGGCCCTAAGTGCTAATAAATTCATTGTTCCTGCAGAGAAAGCTCCATGGGTTGGTCATAATCTGGTCATCAACACTTATCTTTTCTTTAAGAATCCCAAGAGTCTGGACACTGACAGACACATTGTTGTTCTTGGCCTAAGAAGTCCCTAACCCTTTGACTAATTAGCCATAGTTCTGATCGTTTATTCTAGCTTCTAATTGGGATGTAGAATCCTCCTTTTCTTCTTTGAACAGCTTCTGCAGTTCTGTTCTGTATCCCTTGAGAATTGAATCAAGTAGTCAGTGATTAATTCGTTCCTTTGTTCACATGTATTTGCTGAAATTAACTAATATAAGGTCAAGCCCTTGTCTGGAGACAGAAGGAATAGAAGGTAAGAGGCCGTGCTGTCAGGAAGCTAGCAACCCCCTTCTGTTCTTCCACCAGGAGAAGACATGCTCATCTAATTATTCATAGTTTTATCCATTTTCCTTGACCTGGCTGTTTGGTTATTATTCTTCACTGGGATAACACCCTTTATACCAGTGATTATACTCTGCTGGTGCTAGCATTTCTAGGCCTCCCTCCTCAGTTGACCCTGAATTATGATTCAACACACTAGAGACTCTTTTCTCTTCAAACTATGTTTATCTTTATGCTTACACAGTCAAGCAATATCAATACTCACTGGCCTTTTATTAATAATAAATGTTTTCATTATTGATTCTGCATATATTCTTAAGAACCTATTATGTGCCAGGCATTGAGAAGAATTAGAAAATCTTCAAAAAAATGAATCAAACAAATGTCCATTCAAAAAACCCAACATATAAATTGATAATCATCACAATTTATTCCTGAACATTAGCAGAGTTCCAGAAGAACTTGAGGCTGAATGCTATAATTCTAATTTTGGATATTCTGTCCACTGTCACCATAACTTAGTGGCATTGTGACCATGTTAAAGTTATTTAAATGTCATAAACTTTAATTTCCTTAACTATAAGGATACCTGTCTCAAAAAGTTAAGTAGTATGTCTAAGGTCATTCAGCTACTACTTTGCAGGGGAAGATTTAAACCAGTTTATCTAAATTCATATTCCAGGCTCTTTCAGAATTAGTATAAGCCTTCCTTAATTGGGATCCTATTACTTTTTAATTTATATTCTTTCAGCCTGAAGCTATACAAATCGCATCTGCATACAGTAATTTTCTTAATTGTTCTTAAATTTTATAAGCATTCTTGTCCTAAGGACCTCTACCAACACAAACTGGTTAACCCACGTATTTCAACATGTACTTAAAAGAAATGCAGTTGCATTAAACATGGAAGCCAGGGGTTGGAGGCTGCTTAGCACTAGCTCCCTGGAGTCCCGAGAAGAACACATTGCTTATGGCTGATCCAGTATACCTAACTCTTACTCCTAGGTTAACTTTCTCTGCTAGGGCTACTAAGGTGTTGATACTTCTAGAAAAGACATGTTTGGGTTCATGAATCTCAGGGATCAACACTTAAGGTCTGTGTGTTCAGATGTTTTCAGTAGGAACCCTTGTCAGCCGAATGATCTGGCTGGAATTCTTTGAAATTACCTCTACTCCAGGTCACTTAAGTCATGCCAAGAGATGAGTCTAAAATTTTCCCTAAGTCACTGCGGGGCGGGGTCGGGGGGACTCACATAAGGTACACTGGAAAATGTATATTCCCTCAAGACTCTATTTTGATGAATACAGCTCAAATTTACTTAATCTAGGATTCAGCAGATTTTAAACTGTGGAATATTTCCCAATTAGGAGAGCTTCCAAGCTTTTATGTGCCCGAGAAGGAACTGTATTCTTGGTTGACTTTTTCACTTTATATGCATCTACTGTAAAATCTGGAAATCTGCCAAAAAGTATGAAACTATGCAGAGTAATACTGAAGCTCTACTCTGATTTTCAGATTTATCTCTCAAGACCACTTCAATCTGCATACCCTACAACCCTTAGGATAGATGTTTGACTGGTAAATACTGCATAATGTCTTATTGCCAGGGCTATGCCAAGGCAATACTTGAAGGGACATCAACACCTTGGCTAGCACTGGGGCCAGATCCAAAGAGCCAGAATGAATTGAGTTGTGATGTTTCACAGTGTGACCAGGAACAGTTCAAGGGCTAGGCAGAGATCATAATTGTATAGAAGAGTCAAGGTTCATACCAAAAAGCAAAAGGTAAGGACAATGATATAGGGGTATGGAATAAATCAAACTGTTTTAGGTAACATATCAGAGAAGAAAACACAGAGAGAAAAAAGTGCCAGCTTGCCAGTTACAACACATGGAAGCAAGAAAAAGAGATTACCATGTCTGTGTGTATGACTTCTTGATGTAGCAAGCCCCTCATACACACCAATAGTAACACAGCACAAGACATGTATTAAATTATGACCCCACCACATAGATTAGTATTGTTCTCTTCTTGGTGAAAACTTCAAGAAAGGTAGGAGCTCTCCTTCCACCCTACAGTTTCACCTATAAGTAATTGAATTTTGCAGATATTGACAAAACATAGACCCAAATGATTCATATATGTGTACATATATGTTTAATATATTACTAAATTGCTGTTGACCATTAACTGATAGAAATATTTTTTAAAAGATGAGCCTTGTATGCAATTTTAAAAGATGACATAATCAGGGATTATAGCGTGCAGGGCCTTCTGTTCTGAGGATGGAAATTTAGCAATTTCCAAACCCTATTAAACTCCTTCTCATCAGAGAGGTTCCCCATTGAACTAACTTCAATTTTTTATACTCTCCATTATTCAGGAGGAAAATGTATTGAAAGTTTAATCCTTCAAACAATTTGCAAATTACAAATGCAAATGTTTCCTGACTTAATGAGCCCCATTCTTCTGGCAAAGTGATGAAGATCACTGTAAGAGATACATGTCTGATTTGAGCAGAAGACATGTGTTTAATTGCATTTACCCCAAAACATTACTGAGCAGTTACCCTGGCCAAGCACTGTGTTGTGCCTAAGAGTCAAAGATGACTCAGTGAGATAGGTACTTAGATAAATGCTGAAGCCTCTTTCAGCTTGACAGCCTGCAGTGTTATGAAGCAGAGCAGTGGGGAAGGGAGAACAGCAATTCTGTGGAAGATGCTGCTCTCCAAATCTGGAGTAGGTCCAAACCCATGCCTTTGAGGGCCTTATAGTCTAAAAAGTCAAAGATGAGATAAATAAACTGCCAAATTCTTCTACTTTAGGATAGTAAGAGGAGAGTCAAGGAGTCATTTCACATGTAAGCTCAAGAAATCACGCACATTTAATGTTTAATTTGGAGAACTGTCCCATATATGGAGAAGAAAATCAAACAGAATTGGACCACAGGTAAGCTCTGTGGCTAAAATGGACAAATTCATGTTATCATAAAAGGAAGGCAGATACCACAGGGCTCGGCTTTGGTGAAACAAGCCACAAAATGAAAGCTGAACTAGTAACAACTCGCCATCAAGTACAGAAAGGTTCCCTAGGGCCGTAAGAAAAGGGAAAAATGGTAAAAGAGACATAAAAAAATAAAGGGAAGTAAATAGATGGATCTCAGAAGGCAGTGGGAAGGGAGCTGGAATGGCGACAAATAGTAAATTAACTAACGATGGTCAAAGAGCTGCTTTAAGACAAGATCTCCCACTAACAAGACAGAATATTGGCATTTCTGCTATACAAAAACCACTAAAAAGAAAAGGGGGAGAGGGAGGGAGAGAGAAAAACAAAAAATTCAGAAAAAATAAAATAAAATAAAGAGTATTAAAGAAACAATGAGCCAACTGTAGATTAACCCACATGCCAGAAACAGTGAGAATACTGGAGGGAAGGGAGCCAGAGGAAGAGGTGTAAAATGAGAATAATTTAGGAAATCAGAGAGTTTAGGGGAAAGCCCTGAAAAAATAAGAAATATACACATGGAAAAATACAAATGTAAACTATGTATAGTAAATAATTCAGATAACTGGAGGTCTATGGACATTGTGAAATATCAAAATTGGCTGTAAGAGTTCTAAAAGACAATCCAAAGAGAGAATAGCTTAGGGCTCTTGAATGAAAAAGAGCAGAAAAAAAAAAAAGACTACATAAGTGTGAACTTGTGACAAATGCAAAAGTGTAGAACTCTGGAGAATGTGAGTTTTTAATTAGAAGATTCGTCGTAGATATGAATCACATTAAGAAAAGATAGGATTACTGAACATCTATGTCAAGTTTCTCTTTCTCACAGAAAAAAAAAAAGGAAAAGGGGAAGGTTTAAGAATATTCCTTTGTCTCAAATGATAAGGACTTTATTGAGCTGGGTTTTCTACTACATGCCAATAGTTGGTAGATCGCAAGCTAAATTAAAAGTAACCAAGAAGCAAATATTTAAATTCCATGTATAGGAGCAAGTAATCCTGACAAGTAAACTCAGTAAACCTAACAAGAATTAGGTGATCCTGGTAGGAAGGGAGTTTGAGAGAATGTTACTAGTAATAATATTCTTAAAGATTCCTAATCAGGCAAAAGCAAAAAATCAAAATGAAGTTCTCACAGAAAAAAAAAATTGATAGAGCTTTATGCAGCATGAGTAAATCCCTCATTCCTCGGGGGAAATATCAAATATGATGAGATGATCATGGGAAAAGAACTTCAGCTTAGTTTTCAAGATATAAGAGAAAGAGGATATTGATATGTTTAATGATACAAAGACAGTTCCCAGGGGGAAAAATTAATTTTAAGGCCTTGTAGTACAAAATAGATATTCACATAGACAGATATGATTAATGGAAGGCAATAAATAGGGGGAAAAAGAAAAGGTAATAGGGCAATTTAAAAGAAAAAAAAGAGAGGTAGATATACAAAGAGACAAATTGATGAGTGAAAAATGATTGAAGTAGAAATAAATATATGGTCTATAAATAACTAGGTCATGAAAGAAGACACTTGAGGATGGTGATGCATTTAAACAACACAAAAGTGATAATATGTAGACAGAAATGAAGGCTGAAAACAATGGAGTTATTTCAGAGCTATTTCCACAGCCAGAAAAAATACAAATTCATAATAAACATAAAAACATAATACTAATAAAACTTGATGTGTCAAATAAGACAAGAAAAATCAGGGGGGCAACAATTCTTAAAATCTCTAAGAAAAGGGCAACATTATTTGTAGTGGAAGATTTTTATTTAACTTTAGCAAATTTTAGGCAAGTTACAAAAAGTAAAAATAGCACATGACTAATGTAATTAATACATTAAGATAATCAATGTATTAACTGCAGTTAACATTTCACAGAGAATGTACACCCATTTTGATTAGCACATAGAATATTTACCCAAAATGACAGTATTTCAGCATCCAAAACAGGCTATAAACTTAAGCAGCAGATTTTTATATGTGAAAAATACAATAAATCAAAGCTCAAACCTTTTAAAATTACAAAAAAAAAACCCCTCCTATGTCAACATTGTGCCAGGTCTAAATCCTACACGTATTACCTATTTATCATATGTATTCTGTCTCCTTCAATAGAATATAAGCTGCATAGATTGTGGTCTTACTTCACTACTACACCCCCAGCACCTAGGACAGTGCCTGGCACATAGTGAGTATTGTGGAATAAATAGATGATTGAATGTGTGATGTGTTGCTCATTTTATGATGAATAAATAAGAAAATACTTTAATTAGGATGTCAACATTTTGCATGCAAATATGGCTTCTAAAATATATATTAAATATATTAAATATTGATCTTGCTTATACTGTGAACTGTCTCAAAAACATTTTCTAAGTAATTTGCAAAGTGCAGATTTTATCTCAGCTGTTATGCAAATTACGTATTCTTAATTAGTGACATATTGGGAGATTTTAATAAAGAAAAATTCATTAGTAAGCCTCATTCTTTTAAGGAGAATGGTATCTTGGGAGGTTTGTTGATAAAAAAGATGAATACCTGAACTACTTTGTTAAACACTCACTAAACAAGGTTCTCACTCATGGAGTTAGATCCACGCCCTTATCAAACCATGACAAAGATATTGTAAGTGGTCTCTTAGTCACCATTTTTCTTTCCTATATGTGCATTTTACTTGCCTCCAGACCAATATTAACTAATGTAGATCTCTGTTAAAGTCATTATGCTACTCAGTAATCTTCATGGTTCCCCTTTTCCTACTAAAATAAAATCCAATGTCATAAAACAGGTACATGAGGCCTCCATAGTCTAGTTTCAACCTGCTTTCCCTATGTTATTTTCTAATATTTTTCTACCCTGCTCTCCAATCCGATTATTATGCTTACTACCTCCTCTTACATTTTCCACCTTCTTACCTTTCTTCATAACATTCCTGACTCTGGAAGATTTGTTTAGAGTTCATATCCAGGCTGGAGCAGTTATCTGATCAGCACAGAGAATGGTAGTATTACTGTTCCCTTTGATCCAGGCTCTAAATTTTTATTAAAGGAACTTAAGGTTACTTTTTTATACCCACATTGCTATATGGGCTTACATTGAGTTTATATTCAACTAAATACTAACAGGTCTTATTTATATGACCTTCTGTCAAGCTGAGTTCCACACATTCTTAGTAAAGTTTGCAACCCTGTACATTTGGCCCTCTTAAATCACTGCTTTCCTTTTTGAAAACAAAATATCTCTTGATTATACCATCTCCTCTCCATTTCTGCTACTGCCTTAGCCCTTACCACCTTAAGCCCTTTATGAGACTAGCAGAGAGAGAGTAAAAGAGGAAGCAAAAGAAAGAAGGAAGAAGCATTGTTCCTCACATGTGGACTTATGTTCAGTCCCCTCCTCCTTCCAAACTATGTCCTATATAACTAGCAAGGAAAAAAATCATTGTAAAATTAAATCGAATGATCATGACTCCCCCCAGACAAATTCCCCTCAATGCCTCCTTGTTGTCTTCACTGTAGCCTCAGATCTGATGTAATTCATTTCCTATCCTCATCTCCCTCCTTATTTTTCATCTCTTATCGTCAAACAGCTCACACTCTCTGTCTCTGGCCTTTGTATTTGTATTTCCTTGAGATGACAACATCATTTCCCAGCTTCTCTTCCTGGCTTACTGTAATTCCTTCTTCAAGACTCAGCTCTGGCACTTCCTCCTCTACGAAACTTTCCTTGGCACCCTATAGTAGAATGTGCAGGTGCTCTTGCTCTCTGTTCCAGTGACACCAGATTTACCTCTATCATGATGCCCATTATGCGGGTCTGAATTGCCTGCTCACTTTCTCTCTCCCCAGAATTAGACTTTGACCTTCTTGAGCTCCTTGAGACCAATGAGTTTGTCTTTCATCCCTGTAACTCTAGAGTTGGAAGAGTGCCCAGGAGTTTGTCAGTTTATGGTGCCAGTAAAACTATTCCTGATTTTTCTCCTTGTTTATCCAAGAAGAGTAAAGGGCAAGATAAAAAAGGAATGTGATGGAATTCAATTTAAGCAAAATCAGGATTTCAGCCTTTTGATATTTTAACTAATTTAGTGAGCATTTATATTTTGCTATGCATTGTCATTCCATTAGTACAGGTGACTATAATTAAAGCTTTCATGAGATTATTTTGATTCACCCTTATCGTAAGACTAAAAATGAAACAGACACAAATAATCTGTCATAAATGGTGATTCTCTGGGACCCAATTTTTTGGAGCCAGTAGTGAAACAAGCATTGGATTTTCTGGGCTGGGAAAACTGGAGATATTCAGGTCCCTATTGATTTGCCTTCTTTGGAAAATGACTGGCTCAAAGACAACTGGGCCTTGTCCCTCTATCATGGCCATCTTAAATGTTATTTAATACCAATAATCAGTAATAGGTTTTACTGGAATGACAGAGTTGTGTAATCTCTGGAAATTTTCTGAAGATTTCTAGTGCCTTTTTCTGATATGGTTTAAGCATATATTTGGTCAAAGGTACTCTCTCAAGGGTCCATCCAGTTAAGAATCTATAATCATTAAGCCTCAAACATTCTTAAAATAATGAAGGGTTCCTCTTTCCACAACTTCCTCTTTACTTTCCTGATCAGTAAATTGACCAGAAGAAATTAACCTACTTACTACTAACTGTTTATTTCTTATATCAGCAAGTATGTATATGTGTGTGTTTTAACAAATCTAAAAGTAGATTTCTTATAAACAAGTGTATCAGCTTTCCCTTATAGTACCTAGGTAATTATCAATTGATTAATCTGTATATTTTAATGATTTGGCTCCTTCTCTAAAGAAGCAGAAAACTACTTCAAAATCTAAGATAGCTGAGACTTCATTACTTGTTGCAAAATAGAATTTAAGTGGTAGAATCCCACTGGGGAGTACTAACATGAATAATTACCATTACAAACAATCTTCCAAAATGAACAGTTTCACTGCATTGATTGATAGTAGCATCTTCAAATGTGATTTACATTTATATCTCTAATGAAAATTAGTACGTACTTCACACTTTCTGATTTTTCTATGTCCCTTCTGTGGCAACATAATGTCTTATTTCTTCTATTTGTATTTGTAAATTATAGAGTAATATTTGTGACAGGCAATGGGTGAATATGTTTTGCTAAGAGCCTACACTTACATCATCTGATTTTTCAAAATACCTACTGTGTTCCACTCTACATTTCAATTTAATTTCTTTTAATTTGAAATGTGTCTTGAGTAACTGCCATGGATTTATCATAATGCAATACTTTGTGTTTCCCACTTTTAAAATTGTATTAAAATTATTGGAAAAAGTAACCTGGAGACAGCCTTGACTGAAAAAAACTTGAATGACATTAAGTCAGAGTTACCATATCTGGAATATTTGTTCCAAGTTAGATGTAGCATGTGCTTTACATAAATTATTTCCAACTCTTGTAATGAAGGAAGTATTTTCTCTATTTTGCTGGTGACAAAACTAAAGCATAGAGTTAAGTAAATTGTTCAAGTAAATTGTTCAAGGGCCATGTTAGCAGGTGGCTAGACCAATATTCAAATGGGGGTGGATCTGATGCCAAAGCCTGGGCTTTTATTCTAACACAAGGCCACAAGCCACATTAATCTTTATTATTGCCATTAATATGCCACAAGCTTATATGTTACCTCTTACTGTCTAATCTTCCCAGACTCAAAAAAGACATAGGCTAAGACCAAGCCATATTAGTCTAGTTTTTCTGTCTAGTCCATATCAGAACATATACTGTAAGTGCCCTAGTTCACAGGGTTAGGAATCACTATATTATTTAGTTGGTAATTTTCCTTTCTGTGGCTTCTGGCATAAGCTCTCTCTAGAACCAGGGCCAATTGTTTCTCTCTAATGACTTGGAGGGAGGCTAGCCTGAGGCTATCCTTAAAAGTGCAAGTTGATTTATCATCTTTTCCTTTGTTCCATGGATGAGATCCAACATGCAGCTTCAACTAGCCTCACGGGGACAGTTATGTTAACTGATTTCATTCCACAAGAAGAAACATTGGTAACAAGATTTGGCTATTTTCTAATGTTATGAATGCAGTGTTTAAGCAATTATTAAAGTATATGCATACTTTTTAATCTCATTCCCTGTGCCAAATATCTAGATAGATCGATAGATACATAGATAAATAGAAGGTGTAGTTACAATTGAACATAGTCAACAATAGAAATAGGATATGTTAAAGATGCTGAAAACCTCCATAGCTTGAAAAGTTGTGAGAATATGCAATTAACAGTTTACAACAGAAAATGGTTAACACATCTCTTAACTAGGAATTAAAACATTTGGAGTAAGACTAAGAGTCAAGCACCTGGCTAGAATATTAGAACCTGAGAGTGAAATCTCATTTGCTTAGTGCAATAGGACTTTACTCCTATAATAGAGAATGAGTCCAGCTTATTAACATTTGAAGAAATTATAGGCACTGTCTTTTTAAATAAAAATTCGAATTTATTTTTATTAAGACAAGGAAGCAAAGCTGAACACTGCTTCCTATCTTAGGCCTCACTGCTTTTCTTACTTTTTGCCTTTGCTCCTCTTTCCCAGGTTTCTAGCCAATACCACTTTCAGAGGCCTCAGTGGTTCCATCAGAGTAAAAGGTTCCACCATCGTCAGCTCAGAAAACAACTTTTTCATCTGGAATCTTCAACATGACCCCATGGGAAAGCCAATGTGGACCCGCTTGGGCAGCTGGCAGGGGGGAAAGATTGTCATGGACTATGGAATATGGCCAGAGCAGGCCCAGAGACACAAAACCCACTTCCAACATCCAAGTAAGCTACACTTGAGAGTGGTTACCCTGATTGAGCATCCTTTTGTCTTCACAAGGGAGGTAGATGATGAAGGCTTGTGCCCTGCTGGCCAACTCTGTCTAGACCCCATGACTAATGACTCTTCCACATTGGACAGCCTTTTTAGCAGCCTCCATAGCAGTAATGATACAGTGCCCATTAAATTCAAGAAGTGCTGCTATGGATATTGCATTGATCTGCTGGAAAAGATAGCAGAAGACATGAACTTTGACTTCGACCTCTATATTGTAGGGGATGGAAAGTATGGAGCATGGAAAAATGGGCACTGGACTGGGCTAGTGGGTGATCTCCTGAGAGGGACTGCCCACATGGCAGTCACTTCCTTTAGCATCAATACTGCACGGAGCCAGGTGATAGATTTCACCAGCCCTTTCTTCTCCACCAGCTTGGGCATCTTAGTGAGGACCCGAGATACAGCAGCTCCCATTGGAGCCTTCATGTGGCCACTCCACTGGACAATGTGGCTGGGGATTTTTGTGGCTCTGCACATCACTGCCGTCTTCCTCACTCTGTATGAATGGAAGAGTCCATTTGGTTTGACTCCCAAGGGGCGAAATAGAAGTAAAGTCTTCTCCTTTTCTTCAGCCTTGAACATCTGTTATGCCCTCTTGTTTGGCAGAACAGTGGCCATCAAACCTCCAAAATGTTGGACTGGAAGGTTTCTAATGAACCTTTGGGCCATTTTCTGTATGTTTTGCCTTTCCACATACACGGCAAACTTGGCTGCTGTCATGGTAGGTGAGAAGATCTATGAAGAGCTTTCTGGAATACATGACCCCAAGGTAATACTTCATTTTACTTTAGCTTTCTTGATTGTCCATTATAATTCCGTATGTTGTATCTTCTGCTGTAGTATGCTCATGTTCTTCCATCTAACACAGGAATATTCTCTCAGCCAAGTATAGAGACTAGTCCAAAAGTCTGTTGCCTGGTTTAACTAAATATTCCATTGTTTGTTTCATAAACGAAACAAAAAGACTGAGAAGTTTTGGGGAGTGTCTTTTCTAGAGTAGGTCTTTCTGATAGAAATATCTATTAATGCATCTTTTCCTTGTATTATTTGACCATCTGATAGATAGCACACCTATCAGGGAATGGTCTTATAAGGTATTTTCACCCAAAGCACACCTTAAAAACTGATGAATTACTTATCTTGGGAATTAATAAAAATAAATTGGAAGATCCATATTTTAAATAGCAAAGAATCTTTTTCATCACTAAAAAGTGATACAATGGAAAGAATTAAATTTTATTATAAGCACCAAAGTCAACTGCTAGGGAACTCACTGAGTGTAGAACAAGGAGTATCAGACTAACTGAGATGGCAGAATTAGCTAAGGCCTATAAAGTAAGGGGAGCTGCTCAGCTGACTACCTTGCATAGAAGGGAGAGTGCCAGCAGTCCAAGGACATTCAAGAAGATTTTGTCTATCCAGGGTACCCTTGATATCCTAGACATCTGACCCTAAGGGAAGAAGGAAGAGGAAGTGTAGAGTGCAGGTAAACAGCCAAAGCAGGTAATACTTAGGTAAGGACAGCCATTCCATGTTCTCTCTGGATTGAACCAGGGCCCCTCTAAGTGAGCTGGGGTACAGAAAATTAGTCCAGCCCAATAGGACTAGAGAGAGGGGACTGTCAAGGACCAGGGCAATTAGAACAGAGCTCAGGGGAGTACTGCAGTCCTGATGGGAAACAGAGTGCAGATCTGAAGCTGCAGTGCATTCCAACATGTAGGATACATTAAGTAGAGATTGGAGAAAGGTTCAATTCAGCAGGCACACTCAGGACATACCATGTCTAAAGCAACTTAAGCTAAGCTGAGCCTTTCATATTATAAAACATTCACAGGCTTTTCCAAATGCCCCTTGTCACACCAAGTCTCAATGTATTGAACTATTTACTATAAGTTACTATTAAACATTTAAAATTAATTTCATAGACCATCAACAAGTAGGACATTTGTAGCTATCTTTACTAAATGATAGAATGCCCCAGAGGGCTGGTGGCAGCTTTAAAGATTTTTCATAGATGGTTTCAGTTGGATGTAAGTTCTGTTTTGCAACCAAAAGAATGTAAGAAATTTGACCCATATATTGCAAACCTTCTGATAAGTGACATGAACCTCATGAGAGGATTCAGCCAACAATGCCTCATTGACTAGGCAAGAAATTTTGTAACTTCTCAATGAATACTCAGGGCTTTATGTTAGGAGCTGGAATTCAGTGAACACAAATAAAATCATTAGCATAAATAAATGCATCACCCTAAAGGGAGATGTTGGTGATGCTTCTGCATTCACATTCTGCACTGGCATCAGCAGCCTTTGTTTATTCTTTGCCCCAGGAGTCCTGTAAATCTTCTGAAGGTTTTCAGCCTCACTAGAAACTTAGATTATTTGTGAGAATCTCAACAAAGTGACTCCTAAATTATTAGCTCAAAATTAAAAGTATTTAGTCTGATCTAGTAAAAAAAAAAATCTAATATATGCCTGTTGTGGAGATTTCAGGCCATTATCTTATGTAAAAAGATGAACACAATACTAACTAGAGCTTTATTTATCAGAACGAGTGATTGCCAAAATTAAGCCAGGGATGCTATGCATGAAAATCTGTAAGAGTGATTATGCTAAAGTATTAAAAATAAAATTATAAAGACAAGCTATACGCAGCAGTGAAATTATTTTTAAGCAAAAAGAAATAATCATTTCATCTCTGACTCTACCAGAATAAAGAGTGAAATTTTTTAATAAGTCTAACCCGGTCCACAACACAAAGCCAGTAGAACTGGACAAAGTCAACTTTGCATTACAACTAGTGAGTTCTTAATGAAATGGGACAAACCTAAATCTAAACTATTTTCAATTTGGGATAATAAATGAATTTCCACTAAGTTTCCTAAAAATGTGCATGTGTGTACTAGCGTTGTTTCTACGGTAAAATATCTCTTTTGTAGGTTCACTTCTTTCCATAAAAAGACACCCAGATTACTTAGCTAAGCAATGTTTGACCCCGGGATTTAGGAGGAATAATTGTTGTGATAGAATTTTTTAGTTTTCATCCAAATATGTCATATTATGTGGACTACATAATGTCCTCACTCTCAAACAGAGATACAAGATAAAAATTATTTCCACATCCCTCAGTCACTCAGAATGTACTCTTATTATACCGTAGTTACTCACATGAGTGCTTTTCTCTCCTATTAATGCTAAATTCCTTGAGGAGGGCCTATACCATTTCTTATACTAAATAAGGTAGAGCAATTCAGAGGTAAATGAGTCAAATTGTTTGACTTCAATCAATTAGGGAAGAAAAGACATAAACAAAAGGAGAAGCAACTTAGAAGGTTACAAATACGCCAAAGTTTAGCAACAGATGAAGTACTGTCCAAGTTCAAGGAAAGAATGATCACCTTCAACTCATTACAATGGAAGAAAGTTTAATTAATAAGGTAATATTTGTGCCTATTCTTAAAGAATAGTAAGAATTCAGAATGTGTGTCCAGGGAGGAGAAATGGACATCCTAAGTGAAGGAGCAGAATGAATTGCTTGGAGGTAATACTTTATATTACCTATAAAGTATACCTATTTTGTAATATAATGTATTACCTCCAAGTAATTCATTCTGCTCCTTATAATATAAAGTATATAGGTATATAGTATAAAGTATATAGGTAATACGAAGTATAAAGCACAGGCAAGATATGAGGAATCTAATTTAGCTACAGCATAGGTTACAGGAGTGGAAGGAGATAAGATCCAAGTCTGGAAAAAGTAAGCTTAATTGAGATAACAGAGGATCTTTGATGTCAGGCTAAGAAGAGTGAACTTCAATATAGATCCATGGCCATTTTTGAACAATAGAATAGCACAGTATAGTGGTATCCATTTAGGATGGCTGCTTCAGCAGCAGGCAAACAAGATTACAAGAGAAAGAAAATGAATAGAGCTGAAATTATAGCTTTGGTCACTGATATAGATTTGGTCACTGAAGAAAGGATGTGAGAAATATTGCATTCCAATCAGCAGGACTTGGCAATTAATTGGTTGGGAGAGGCAACAAAGAGTCACACCTTCAGAGCTGCAGGCCTGAGTGTCTGAGAAGATGCTGGTACATTCAAGGAAGCACAGAAACAGCAGTTCACGGGCTAGAAAATATGGTAGTCAGTTCAGTTTCATGCATGGCATATTTTAAACTTTTAATTTAAGTTTAGGGGTACATGTGCAGGTTTGTTACATAGGTAAACTTCTGTCATGGGGGTTTGTTGTATAGATTATTTCCTTGCCCAGGTATTAAGACTAGTACCCATCAGTTGTTTTTCCTGATCCTCTCCCTCCTCCCACCCTCTACCCTCCTATAGGCCCCAGTGTGTATTCCCCTCTATGTGTCCATGAGTTCTCATCACTTAGCTCCAACTTGTAAGAAAGAACATGTGGTATTTGGTTTTCCCTTCCTGTGTTAGTTTGCTAAGAGTAATGGCCTCCAGCTCTATAGCATACGTGGCATTTTTAAATCTGTTTTGAACATTTAGGTTAAATCCAACAGATATTGGAAACATGGAGCCAGAGTTCAAGAGAGAGATTGAAGCTAGTAAGAATCCTGGCAGAGGGAGGCCATACTGTTTATTAAAGCCCTAGGGGAGTATGCGATCCCCAGGGGAGAAGGTGATAGGGAGAAAAATTTCTGTTTGAAGGAATGCACCATGAATAAGGAGTCCCAGGATGTTGGTGTATAGGATTTGTGGAGAGACGAGGTGAAAGATGAAGAGGAAAGGTGACTCATAAATTCATGCAGCTCCACAAATGCCACTCTATACTTTGAATTCTAATTTTCTGAGGTGACTATGGGAATCATATGCCTACCTTCTTGTCAGTGGTTATCAGAAAAAAATAGAGGCAGATTCATGCCCAGAACAAACCATGAGAATTAGCATGCATGCATACATGCATGTGTCTTAATGTCTGATGAAACTATTAAGTTGGTGCAAAAGTAATTGCAGTTTTTGCCTTTGAAAGTAATAGGTTTATGTGATTTAATTTTTTGAGTATTTTTCAAAATTCCCTTTTCATTTTTCAAATTCACTTTGATAGCATTTTAATTTTAATCAGGGAGAATTTAGTGCCTATGGAGAAGTCATAGATCTCTGTGGTTCTTTTGGGACATTTGTTTTTCTGCCGTAAGCCGAAAATTCCCCCAATCTCAATGGGAGGTGACATTTTATATGGAGTAATGGCCACACTCTAAAGATTCTTCCACCACTGACTTACTATCTGCTTTATTTCTCTTCATATCCTTTTATCTACTGGATATTAGGATGGTTCCCCTTACACCATGTTGCCATTTTCATCCCGTTTTCACTACATAAAACTCACCTCAGTGAATTCATCTCAAGAAAGTTTTGCTGTGCTTCCCCGTTAATGCTCTTGAACACCTGCCTGCTGTGCTTCCCCATTAATGCTCTTGAACACCTGCCTCCTTTCTCCTTTAACTCTTCTTTGGTTATCTTGAGATAATCTCTCCAAGTCTTTCTGTTATAATTGTGCGCCCTAAAACTTTGAAAATAATAGAAGAATTTTACTGAGAAATGTGCTCCAAGGAATTGATGTTTTTACCTCTTAGAGGCGATCCAGACACCCCAAATCTAAAAATGAAACTCCCCAAAGTTCTATCTACTATTTTCTTAAAACTACATTTCTGTTGCATGTAATATTTTAAATTATAATAACAGTGTTTTCTTACTTGTGTGTAAATAGTTTATATTTCTAGCTCAAAATTTAAGCTGTTTTTTTTTGGTATTAGTCTTGGAATCTAAACACCACTTATAAAATATTTATATGGGAAAATATGTTCGGATGAAAAAGCTATTGACTTACAAGGTAAGATTTGTGATCCTCTGTATTTATACACCGTCTGTCTGCAAGTTGAGCCCTGGCTACGTATCTGTAACCCTGATAGCAGATAACTTACAATGAATGTAATAGCTCCATTTTTCTTCTTGATCCTAATTGTTTAGAATGCTGGCTATATATTTAACACAATTAATAAAACTGTTAAGAATTAAGAGGGTGAATATTTTATCACCATTTTAGGGCGGAAATTCATTGGCTTTAACCAACTACTTTGAATCAGAAATAAAATTAAAAGCAAGAGCCTGCGCAAGAAAGATAAACTTATGATTCACTGCATGTTGCAGCAGCCACAGGAGGTTGAAATTTTTTTTCCTGATAGGGGGTCAGAAGAAAAAAATAATCTTGTACCTGGCTGCTCTTGCAGATAACCCCAAGAGAGAGGAACTGGCCTGCTGTGCAAATGAGGTTCAAGAGGATGATTCTATCCTCACTTAACTCTTTTTGCTAGAATAATTTATTTTACAATAAAAGTAATATATGTTGCTTCTCACGGCCTCCTACCAACTCATCTGGGAAGCAAGCTCCACGCTTCAGAGTGGGTGGGCTCTTGAAGCATGAGACCATGAAAGCAGGAATTTGTGAGTGATATATTTAATAGAACTTATTTGGATATTTCCTCAATGTAAAATAGCACTATTCATTATAGGCAATGCAGAAAATAAAGTAGAGAGATGGAAGCAAGCATCTACTACCTCATCATCCAAATCATGTTATTTTAGCATTTGGGGATGATTGACAAGTGGATAGAAACTGCAGCCGTGTTTTTATCCAGTGAGGTTTCTCTTTGGGTCTGCAGTCTAAGGAGTGGATCTGGGCACTCACAGGACATTTCAGCCATTGGCATATGTTCTGCTGGTATCTAAGATGGGATGAGAAAATAACTTCACAGAACATAAAGTTCACTGGAAAATAAAGCTCCACTTCCCCTTATGGAGTTGAACTGGCTCAGCTGAAAGGATACATGAACACTCAAAATTAGCTATTTGCTGATTTTAGTGGACTTTCTAGTACTTCTTTTCCAGCTTCTCCCCTTTTAGCCCTGAGAAGTATCTAATAAAAAAAAAAAAAGAAAAAGAAAAATTCAGCTCTGTAGAGGGAATAGGAAGCTAGTATCATTGTTGTACAGGCAAATGACAGTACTGTTTTAGAAACACAGTCCTGGCGAACATTCAAGTAAATATTAAAAATTAAATAGACATGCTGTGAGGGCAAGGGCAAACTTTAACCAAAAATATTTAAAAAAAAGGACATTGGCAGAGCCTTAGTAGGAAATGAGAAGCATTTCCCAAAATAAGAAAAAACGCCTTTATTGATTGTCATATAACAGCTTGTGGCTGCCCAATAAAACATATGAATTCATATAATGAAAGCTGCCACAAAGAAGGGAAGGATGCCATAACTCTAAGGCAAACAAGACACTGAAATGGAATTTGAGGTGAGGGGAAAGAAACTGAGTTACACCAATCCACTCATTCATTCTTTCTTAATTCATTCAATAACAGCAACTTCTAGCCCAAGCACCATGCGAGGTGCCTGGGAATTTAAGAGTAAGCAAAATAGACACTGTCCTTGCAACATGGAATTTAGTAGGAAAGAGAAACATTAATCAAAGGAGCACATAAATTAGTCAATGATTGATTTAAGCCATGCTAAATTACTGAGAAGTAAAATATAGCATAATCTAGGAGCCTGGCAGGAGACCTGATCTGAATGGGGAAAGAAGGTCTGTCTAAGATCTGAATGAGATAAATGAGTTAAAGGGAAGTTGATGAGGATGTTAGAGAAGAGCATTTTAGGGGGATGGGGCTGCAGGTGCAGAATCCCCGAGGCTAGACAGAGGGGAGTGCAACTGTCTCATCAACTATGACATTGGAAAGCCAGGAAAATGGGAATGAGAGTCAGACAAGTAACAAGATAGAGGGTTTTGATCACTAGACATTCTAGATAAACCATTTCTCAGAAGAAGAAAAATCCAAAGAATGTCATACTGTAGGGAGAGCTGTACTTCCTACAGGCTCCATGTACTTCCAAATAGAAAACATAATAGGAGAAATATCCTATTCAGTGTAGCAACAAAAGTTCATGATAGATCATGGAAATGTCCTCTATAAAAATTGGGTTAAAAGAAAAAATTTGTTAATGTACCACCACATAAAAGATAGTTGGGATAAAATAACTACCATATTACCAAGTTGGGAGACTGAATACTTAAAGATGTCAAAATTCCTTGATTAGTTTATAGGTTTGAGGCAACTTCAATCAAAATCCCAAAGGACTTTTTTGTTTCTTTGATTAATATTTTAAAAACATATATTAGTATATTTACATATAATATATTAATGTTAATCTTTTCAAAAAGGCTCAAGGTATTTACTTTTCTAGATATTGAAATGCTTAATATTGGTAATAATAAAAGAAAAGCTAATATTCATTGACCATTTCCCACATGCCGAGCACTATTTTAAATGAAGTTAAATAGCACTCCCACCTCCATTAACTAGTTACAGAGATTACATTAAATAATTCAAGTAAAGCACCTTGCATAGTGTCTGACACCTAAGGGGCACAAAATAATAGTAACAATAGTTAAAATCTCTTCATATTTTAATACCAATAATTATATTTATCTTGAACAATCATTCCCCCCACCCATTGTCAAGGTGAACACGGTGACAAGATTCCCTTACTGAGCTAACTTATAGAGAGGAGTTTGGAGACAAATTTCTTGCCTACTAAAAACAGATTAATTGTCATTGTGGTATGCATTTTAAGCATCATTCCTGACTTTGTATTTTCTTTCTTAGTTCACTCTGTTTTAATTTTTGCTACCTTGTATGTTATGCGACCTTTAAGCTGCCTTAAATCTTTTCGGGAAGATAGCAAGGTATATATAAGTAACCTTAAAATCAAATAAATAAAGAATAGTAACAGTAATTCAGGAAATAAATAAATGCGACAATTAATAAAGAAATTTAAATCATACCTGTAATTAAAGAAATGCTAAATTAAAACAGAAATGAGACATTTTTGCCCATCACATTAGATTTATTTTAGTGATATTTCTCAACCTTAGTGGAAGCACATTAAGATGAGCACCAGCAAACACTATTACTGGGAAGCTGGGTTTATGCAATGCTCATAAATCATTTTGGCCATTTGGATCAAGAGCCTTAACAGAGTTTATGCCCTTTCGCCCTTGACTTTCACTTCTAGGAATCTGTCCACATAATATAGTATGTGGACAACAACTTATTGCAAAGAGTCACTGCAGCCTTACTTAAAATAGCAAAAACTTGGAAACCATGTAAGTGTCCAATATGTAGCACAATTACTAACTTATAATATTCCATATGCTATAAAATGCAGCCTGAAGAAATGATATTGAAGAGCCTTTTAAGGTGTCAAAAAATCAAAATATAATGTTAAGTGAAAAGTCAGGATACAAAACCACATACTACATTTTCAATTTTGTAATATGCATATGTACATGCTATAAAGGGACATGACTGGAAGGAAATATCACGCAATGCATATAATGCAACGTATATAAAATATCACAGCACTGTTACCTGGGCAGTATAATTAAGGAAATATTTATTGTATTATTTCTACCTCATATTTTTTACAACATTCATGTATTATTTATGTAATGGGAAAATACTTAATAACCCAAGTAAGAATGAGAATATTTCAGACATGAGACAATAGTGGTGACAATATCACAATAGCAATATTTGCTCCACATGTGCTGCTGCTGTCTGCGGCCTCAAGTGAGATGAGTACCTCAATGAGTACCACTCCCACACAAAAATTTTTACATTTTAAAGACACTTATACTGTCCACAGAGGCTTTCAGGAGCAAATTTTCATTTCCACCCAGTTTATTCCCCTCCTAGGACTTAACACAATCTGTAATTGTCATGCAATCTGTTTGTTAACTGTCCCACTTTATCTTGCTTAACACTGTATCCTCAGAACCTAGCAGAGTGCTGGGTGAACAGTAAATATTCAGTAAATGTTGTTCGACTAATGAATGAAAAATGGCAGCATCATTGGAATAAGAGTATAGTGCTCTGACGTGATTAGTTTGAAATCAACGTTTTTGATATGACCTTTCAAAATCATTCTTATACTAGATGCTGTGGAACAAATAGGAGAAAAACCCCTGTTGGGGGCAATGTGGTATGCTATAAAGGACAATCTGGCATTGGACAGCTCTGTTTGGTGTCTGATTCCATTACATATTAGTTTTGTGAAGCTCTGCAAGTTACTTAGCCTCTCATGGCTTCTGTCTTCTCATGTGAGAAGATTAAAGAGGATAATGGATGTGAAATATCCAGCTGAAGTTCTTATTCTATCTACCACTGGACTATAAACTCCATGAGAGTACAGACTAAATCTTTCTTATGCACCCTGTTCCTAGGGCCTAAGCAAATGGCAACTCCCCATTTGGATAATTATTGAGTAAGTAAATGGACTTGATTATGACATCTATTGAAGCAGAGGTGGCCAACATGAGACCAGTAGGATTGAGGTAGAGGGTGGGAGCACCTCTCATTTGCAGTTGAAATTATGTCCAAAGGTGACCCAGAGTGTTTGAGCCAGGACATTGTATATAATTATTGTATGTATTTTGCATAGATCATTGTATATAATTTGCTTTCATTAAAGCAAATAACACCTAAGACCATGATGCCCATAGTGGAACCGAGTCTCAGAGATGTAGGATCCTTGAGTAGGAAGACACTGTGAGGGAATACGAGACAGATGATGCTGCCCCAGCCTAGGTGGTTTTGGATCCCTGGTGGTATATTATGGAGTTGGATTAGAATCATTCAGTGGGTCTTATATGGATCAGACACACAGTACACGACAATTAGTGGAAATTGGCAGGGTGGGGGGAATGGTATATTCTTTCCCTTCCTGAATGTTCTCCAATTCAAGAAACCATAGGAAAATCATCAAGGCTTTGCTAGTTCAGATTGATAAGTCAAAAACTGAACAAATATACATGTAACTTATTTATTTATTTTCTCACCTACTTCTAAAATAATTTTGAGGTGGCATCTTTACAGAACTTTTAAAATAACTGCAGTTGTATTACTTTCAAATAGATACAGTAATTCATATTAAATACAGCAAAGTGTTTTCAATTAGATACCGTGCTGAGTTTGCCTTAATGAAAGTCTAAGATCATTTCCTTTATTTTAATACAAACAGAGAATATGTCAAATTTTTGCCAACCTTTCTCTTAAATTAAGGGAAAATTGGCTTATACCTTTGTTTACGTTATTAACCTTCTTAGCAAGTATTAAGATATTTGCTATCCCAATACATAGATACTTTCTATGTATAAATAAATACATAGATACTTTCTATGTATAAATAAATACATAGATACTTTCTATGTATAAATAAATACATAGATACTTTCTATGTATAAATAAATACATAGATACTTTCTATGTATAAATAAATACATAGATACTTTCTATGTATAAATAAATACATAGATACTTTCTATGTATAAATAAATACATAGATACTTTCTATGTATAAATAAATACATAGATACATACTTTCTATGTCAATAAATGTGTCATAAGATATCTATAAATATTTATGTGTGTATTTATATACATATATATCTTGGGTAATTATAAACAATTATCAGCATACATGTCTATTAACTCTGTGTTCACATAGACACATTAATATTATTTTAAAAGTTCATGTAGGTTAAATGGACTCACATTTGGAATACAGAGAACTAAGTTAATGATGGTTTGCTCTGTGAAGAATCTTATTTTCATGCTCAATAAATATTTATCTGTGTATGAAGTTGCAGGTAGTCCCCCAAGAGGGCTCCTTTTGTGTCTAAAATATACGTATTTTAGCTCCACAGGCACAGTGTAAATAAATTAAGTTGAAAGTTGGATTTTTATGATTTAGCCTCAACTTGATATTTTGATCCCTAATCAGATCAGAAGCTAGTGTGATTCAACCACTGGTGTATCCAGTGGCAAGCCAAGAATCTTAACAGAGTTCAGGTCTGTTGTGAACTCAGTATGGGAAATTTGGCCAGCTAGGACTCAATTTTCTCAATCACAACTGAATACAAGCCTACTCCAGCCAATTGCATGGATAGATACATAGATAGATAGATAGATAGACAGATAGACAGATAGATAGACAAATAACATGTATATAAAATATATGATGTTATTCATAGCTTACTTTCAGAATATTTTGTCAGAATCTATTAATATTTTTCAAACTCAAGAAGTGAGTTTACCATGATATTCTATCAAAAAACTGCTGCCTAAAAAATGCCAAAAAACAGAAAATTTTAACAATGCCAACCAAATAAAACCTATCAATGTTTCCTTAAATTATATTTCAACTAGGTTTTTTTCTGTGCATGACCTGAAGGCATATAATTAATGGAGGTAAATCAATTGGCAAATAAGAATGTAAATGAATATGGGTATATATTTATCTCCTATGGTTTGTGTTTTAAATGATGATTAACCATCAGCCTAAAGGTGATAAAAGACTTATTTCACTTCATGGTAAGACCATAGATATAATTTCAGGAACAGAAAATAAAAATGTCAATGTCAACAAATAATAATATTAACATGTATTACATACCTGCTATAGTCTAGGGACTATGCTATCTGCTTTAAATTGAATTTTCCTCACTTAAACTTTACTGCATCCATACAGATGAGGAAATTGGGCTAAAAGAAGGTAGATGACTTGTCCAAAGCCATATAGCTAATAAAAGGTAAAGGCAGGATTCATACCCAACAATATCTGATGATAAATTATTCCTACTCACTATTTCATTAACACATGCAGTAAAAATGTTCTCCCCTACCTGATTTATTCCAACAAGTCCTTTCCTCACCTCTGGACTTAGGCTGCAAAAGCTGCTCATACCACAAACATGACTGAAGAGCAGAGACTGCTGCTAAGGCTGTGATATTTGAATCTTTGCACAAATGGTACAGGATTCAGTCTGGGATGAAGAAGCGAAAGAGACACAGATGCAGGCAGGAATAACTCCCACACCTCCACCACCATTACCATCACTACTCCCTTTCCCAAGGAAGTACTGTGGCAAGAATATATCCTCTGGATACTTAATAAACTAAAAAGAAGAAGTTGCTTATCTGCATAGTGTCTTCCATCCACCACCTCTGTGGCATGCTGTCAGTCTCAGATGCTGCCCCACTCTCCTGCCACCACCCCCTGTGAAATGGCAGCTTCCCTTCCTTCTCTTTCTCCCCTGCAGTTAGACATCTCCAAATGAAGCTGTAGTGTCTCAGTATGAACTATGGTGACAATTAATATTCCCACTGTTAAATCTCTTCATCGTTACTCCACTCTACCTTCAGCACTGCTAATGCTTAACTCACATAAATTTTGCTCAAAGCATTAAGTCCTTCCCTGTTCATTGAAATACTGTTTACATTATTGAAAGGCTAGAAATAATCCATAGTCACCAAGAGTAGCTGGGTTAAATAAAGCAAAGTACATTTCTTCATCGGAATATGGTATTAGTGTTAAGGAAAGAAATTGAGCAGGTTGTGAATTATCAAATTAAAAAGTAGTTTGTACAAAATATGAATCTATAATAAAATTCCACATAAAACCATTGTACTAACATTTTTTGTTTTACTGAATTGGCACTCATGAAACAGGGTTGCTCACCACTAGAATATAAAGATATCAGAGGCACCTCAAATCTTCTTCCTGCCACATATTCTGGAAGTACCCCCAACAGTCATTTCTTGGAATTAAGAAATTTTTTCTCCAGAAGGCCCCTACATATACTGCTTACATTTCAACGTAAGACAAACGTTATCTGAAAGAGATGATACTCCTGTTTTCTATATGGGTTACTAATTTAGACGAGATGATTTTGCTTACATAGAGAACAAGGGGAATATATATCACTGGGCGGTTTGATGAATTTCAGGGAGAAGACACAAATTATCAGATCTATAGAAGAAGAAACCAGAAAAAAAGGCAACTGGCACAGCTTCCTGCCAAGATTCAAATCCCTGTCGCTCTCTACTCCTCATAGGTGAAGCTGCTTCTCCCTCATTTTCAAGCACTGACTTTTTCCTTGTCTTTCCCCAACAAGGCTCAGGAACCAATCCTGTTCTATCTTAGGGAGAATTTAAGATGCTATATCTGGATCCTTTCTCTTCAGAAGTTTGGTTCAAGGACAAGCAGTTCTGGCAACTCCAGGAGCTTGTCAGAAATGTAGAATCTCAGACCCAATCTCAGGCTCTGCCCTAGACCTACTAAACCAGAATCTGCATTTTAACAAGATCCCTAGGTGTATTCTGCACAATACAATCAGAGAAGCAAAGCTATAGGTCAGTTTCCATATGATCCAACATCAGATCACTACTGCTGCTGGCCCCACTCTTATCTTTCACTCTTGAATCTGTGACATTCTAGGACTACGTCTAATAATTGGTTCTATTCCCTCTTAACAAGCTTAATGTTCCATTGACTTCCATACTGTCATCCTGCTTAGCTCTGGCCTTCTCCCAGCATCTGGGAGATGCTTTGACTCAGAGTCCTAGCTTGCCAGCTACAATTTTAGCCCAGCTGGTTGACATCTTGGATAATGGACCTACACAATTATCTTTTTCATTGTTCACCCAGAATTCTCCCACCCCCTGCTAAACTGATCTATGCTACCTTTGTGCAAAACCAGCACAAATCAGTCTATCCTCTAAAGAATTTCAGAAAAAATTCCTTTTGCAAGCCTTTTACCCTTGTTCTTTCCCCTGTGGAGATAGTAAGCAGCTTTATCAGCTTCTTTGTTGAACCATTATTAACCCATTTCTCACTCTGTTCTTCACATTTTGTAAATCAGTTCACAAATCACTCTTCCCAGCTTCTCTGAAGAAATGAAAGGTGCTGCCCCTGTATTCACATAATTTTATCATCTGCACACTTTTACACAGGCCTCTCATCTGCAATTGAATGCTGTTAAGTGGAAAAAGTATTACATACTGAAAATACAAGTCTTTTATCCTAATCCCATTATTTTCTTTTCATTTTTACAACCTTTTAGAAAATGACTATTTTGCTTCACTAATATGACAAATAATTATGACACACATCATTTGTAAAGTCCTTCATTGCCTCCCAAACACTTTCACTTCATCACCTCAATTGATTCCCTACATCTTTGTGAAGCAGAAAATGCATCTGCTGTTGGAGGAGACTGAGGCTCAGAGGAGTTAAGTGATTTTTCCAAGGATCAAGCTGCTACTTAAACCCAAGTTTTAATTTCAGATCCATCATAATTTTTGGGACAATGTGCTGCCTCATATTAAACTATATTCAAAAACATATTAAGCATACAATGATAAGAATGCTTACAGCTCTCAAAGCTTTGCTCAGCATTTTGAGAGTGTAGTTTGAGAAGAACAATTATCAGAAAAAGAAATTCATAATATGCTCACTTAATTACTGTTCAATGCACATCTAGTACTTGTGAATTACCATAAGTTTTTAGATGGTTTAACTTTCAAGGAGCTGAATATCTTGCAGGTCAAATATGAAATCAAGTAGTCAGTCTACTGAGAGCCAAACTGAAGTCCAAAATTGCAGAATATATTTTGCTTTAGGTCATGTACCAAATGACTAATAGGCAGCGAAGGTTTTCAGGATTATAATTTTAGCCCAAGGCTCTGGTAACTACATGAAATCTTTGAGTGGTTTATGATATCTTAAGCTGAAATTATAGCTCCCCATGGGCAAAAGTTGTTGAAATGCTTTCAGCCATTGAGTACTGTAATTAACCTGTCCTCTATAGCAATTATAGGAAAAACTATATTGAATGCCTAGTCATATTGACTAATGACTTTAAGTATACAAATTACTTTTTAAATGAGAATGGCAGGAAGGAAATTCATTCACCCATCAATTCCATAAATATATATGTCACCATATGTATTTTGTCTGTTTGCCATTAAGATAAAGGCTAGGAATACAATAGCAGACAAGTCAGATCCCTACCCGCCATTTCCAAAATCTTACACTTTAGCAAGATAATTAGACCTTAAATGACCATACCCATGAGATGAGTGTTACGATGAAGAATGGAATATTATCCCAAATATATTAACAGAAACCTGGCAAACTGGGCTTGATGTGAGGAACACAGTCAGAGAAAGCCTCCTTGAGGAAGAAAACATGAATTCTGAATGATGAATTAAAATTATGGAGGAAAAGAGGAGAGGAAACCTCTCTTAATAGGCAGATAAAGTAAATGAGGAAAAAAAAAGAGACCTTGAAGGGAGTACACAGGGAATCAGTCTCCCTCTGAATGATAGGAAGAGCTGTGTGGATATATGAGAGGAAAAAGTGGGAAACGATCAGAAAATAATTTGTATAAAATAACATAGACTAGACATCAACAAGAAATATGTATGTAAATTTCACATTATGTTACACATATATATGATATGCATATGTTATATACGGTATATAACATAGAGTATTTGTATATCATACATGTATATATTATGTATAATATATAATGGAAAATATAAAGCATGTATAATATAGTACTTATGTATATTTGATATGTGTGTGCATAGGTATATATATATGTGCATGTGTATGTACCAGAGCAGAATTTGTAATGATAAAACATAAAGCCATTTTCTATAAAATGCCTCCTCTTCAGTCACAAGAAAAAAAAACTTAAGATTCAAAGACTGTAAGATAATATTCAAAAGGTAACTAATTAAGATGACAAAATCAGATAAGATAATAAAACACTGTATTGAATGAAAAAATAGGTACGCAATTTTAAAAGAGACCAAGAGGATTCAATGTGAAATATTTACCTGCTAAAGATGTAATTCATTTTGGAGAATACAAAGATTGCCACCAAATGGAAAAGCCCAGAAAGAGCTCCTAACCACACAAGTCAGCTCTAAATATTTCAATATTACTTCAAACAATTAAATTATATTATTATTTTCAGCGATAATACAATTTTCATTTGTATTACACTTGACAATATTTTTTCAGCTTAGTGATGAGGTACACATACAATAGAGTTTTAGCATAGTTAAATATAAATTATCAATCATACATATAAAATGGAAAATAGATACAAGAAAGATTATGTTTCAGAATATCAAATTGTATCAATAATAAGTGGAAGGTGAAAACAAAGTAGAGACACAAACCAAGAGAACAAAATACTTAAATATGTGCCTAAAGTTCTAAATAGCAGTTCTCAGATACAGGAAAAAATGGTTTTTGGTTTTAGGGTGAGTATTAATCATTCCACTCCCTAAAAGTTGGTTTTACTAGGAAAGCAACATTATTTTAAAAAGTATTTTATCTGTCACAGGACAGAGAAAATAAAAAATGATAGGATTTTTGAAGTTTCATCAATGTGCAATTTACAATGGACACACTTAAAACAGACGTAAGCTAAAAAATTAAAAGCTTAATTAACATAGTTCAATAAGTATAGAAATTATTTTGAAATGTATTTTGTCACTTTAGAGTTCATCATAAATTCAAAAATAGTAAAAGTAATCTATTTTCTCTGAAAAGCTCTGTGCTAAGTAAGCATTACAATGATATTATGAAAATAATGAAAAATTCTAGGCATTTTTGCACTAAATGCTTCAATATAGTTATAAAAAGAAGGAAGCTAGTCCTTGGCAATTATAATTCTTTTAAATCTTGCTCAGATGAAATTCCTGACACAAGTGGCATGTGATGACTGAAGTTTTAATAACCATTCATACTTGGAACATTTTATGCATTAATAATACTTGGAGTAAAAATGAACAGCATTTTCCAAATACAATAACTCAAAAATAAATGGAAACATTTGTGAAAATGTTTCATTTTTGAAAATCTCCTTGGGCTGAGTCAAACCATGGAAAATTTTAGCTCAAACGAAAATTCTTCCTCTTTCCCAGCCCCCCTAAAAAAAATCACAAGGATGTGAAAACAGGATTATAATGGAAGCTGTCTTGCAACATTAACTGCAATGTTCATTCTCATAAAAGCCATAATTCATGGCTGCTCCACAGCCCTTTTCTTTCAGCAATTATGCATATTAGAGGAAAGTTTGAATACATAAAACCCAAATGCTGATAGAAAAGCAAGCCTCATAAAAGACGCATTTACTCAACTAGTTTTCCTCAAAGGAAAATGTGAAAGCTAACTAGGCTGCACCAGTCCAAGGTGTCCCTAGTTCAAGGGAGTTGGAGAAAGCATGAAAACTACAGCTGCAGGGCATTATACAGGGCTTACTGCCTGGGATTTTTTGTCAACCCATTGGCAGTCAACTCCATCACCAGAGGACAGCACCTTTGGTGGAGGGAGGATGTTGGGACCTACTACTGGCTCTCCTGGGAATTTAATGCAAAGTTGCTCTTTTGAAAGGAGAGTGCCAGGAGAGTACCTCAAACACACTCTTTTTTCTTCATTCCTTTTTTTCTTAATCCCTGTTTCTTCTAACTTTCATAGGGTGTCATGGAAACCACCACATGAGAACTGCCCATGCCACTTTGATGACCTTCCTATTTCCAGAATCTAGTACAGAGACTGGCACTTGATAAACATTTGCTGGAAAAAAAGAATCAAAGATTTCTAAATCCTGTTTCAAGTCAGAAATCTTGGTTTTGAATTTTGTCTCTGTTCCATAACTGGGTTTTGTGACCCTGGGAAAGTTACTTATACTCTGAACCTCAGTCTCCTCACCTAAAAATAGAAATGAAAATTATGACTCCTCATGGCACCGTCCCCAGACAATTATGAAATAATGTATGTAAAACCTTTTAGCACAGTAGCTGACCTGTTTAAATGTTCTGTAGTTATCTGTTAAATCCAAATTCTTCATTTTGCCTATAATTCCAGAGTTGTAGGAGACTAAATGAATGAAAAAGACAGATCTTATCAAATTTAAGGGATCAGAATCCACTCTAGTGATTTTTTCTGATACTTCTTATAATAGGCCAAAACTAAATGCATCCTTGACTTCTCTAGGAAGAATTACAGCCAACATTTATAGCATTCAGGATTTATGCTTTGATATATATCTTTAAAATAAAGCCTATTGCCATTTTTAAATGGGAAATCTCAGAAGCAGCTCAGAAATATTAGCAAGAATTACAAAATTTATTTATAAAATTTACAGACTTATAATAACCCTCCAAGCAAGTAGCAAAAATTTTAAAATCTGAAAGAATGACCACACACACACACACACACACACACACACACAATGGATTTATTGCATACATCTTCAGATTAACAAATCAACCAGCAAGCTACTCTTTGTGCATAGGGTCTGTGGAGGATACAAAGAATAATGCACACAATCCTCATCCTCAGAAAATATGTAATCAAATTAACATTAAAATGCTGCAATAAAATTAGGAAAAGCAATGTGTTCACCAGAGTATCAAAAAGGTATGTTAGTATCTCTGACGACTCTTTAACAAAAGTAGCCTTCCCACCTGACTTTCTATCACATCATATCATTTTTCCGTTCCTTCCTTTAATTTTGTATTATCTGTAATTATCTGGTTTGCTTGGTGTTGTTTTTCTCCACAGGAGTAGAGACATTTTCTGTATTATTCATAGGGATTATCAACTGATACAGATTATATATTAATGGGGTCTTTGTTCTTGAAACTATCACTGACCCAAGGACCCTAACTAAGGTGGCAGTTAAGACCAAATCAGAAATATGCCTGAAACATTTCATTAAAAAATCATTCATTTATTCTTCCATGTTATTTTTATATCAATTAATATAATTCCAAATATATTAATAAGGCACTATGACAGATTCTAAAAGACTTAAAAGAAACATATTTCCTTGAGAAATACACACAAATAAACAAATATTTATACTACATCCTGACTCACGAAATAAAAAATAGATAAAAGGGAAACATAGTACCCACAAGGATGGCTAACTCTTTCTTGGGAAGATCAGAGAAGGTTTGAGAAAAAAGGTGATACTTACTGAGTTTTAAAGAAATAATAGCAGTTTACCCAGGAACCAACCTTTGAGAAAACAAAATGTGTGTGGGGGGGTGGAATTCCAGGCAGAGGTAACAGCATGTGCAAATGCCAAAAGGTAAGACTGGACCAAATGACATGAGTGCTGAGATTAGTGACAGAAGATCTTGGTTTAGTTTCTGGATCCTCACGTATAGTTGTTACCACTGTATCAGTCACCTATTTCTATGATAATATTGCAAAACAAACAACCATAAAATATCGGCATACAACAAAAAGCATATAAATAGCTCACAAGTTTTGCCAGGTTTGGTTGACCTGGTCCAAACTTACTTACCTATTTTGGGATCAGCTGGCTGTTGGATGATACACAGTGGCTTCAATAATTTGCTGTGGTGATGTGGCTCTGTTCCACATGTCTTATCCTCCAACACACTCATTCGGGCATGTCCTTCTCATGGTGATAACAGAGGGCTATGGCACAAGCAAAGATGCAAGCACTTTGCTAAGACTGTGCTTAGAACATGTTTGCTAACACTCCAGTGACTACTAGCAAGTCACATGGCTAGGACCAGAGTTAGAGGGGAGGAGCCTAATAGTGACATGACAAAGGGTGTGAAACAGAAAGGAGAAAAGAGTTGGAGCCACTAACATAGTCAGTCCACTGCACCTACTTAATCTCTAGAGTTTGGGTTCCTTTTCTACAGATGAAGAACAAAACAATTCCTCCTTCCTGATATGCTATGGTTGTTGGGAGGAAATGTATAGGTGTTTTAGAAGTATTTTAGCTGAAAATAAACAGGTAAGTAGCCAAAAAGTTGTCATGGAAATCTGAAAGAATGGTGTTACTCTGTTCGTGGTTTGCACATCAGCTAGCCACATATTTAAGTTTCAACTCCTATTCCATTTCTGTAAACAGTGCTCCACTCTTTGAATCCAACTCACTCCAGGTGGTTCAGCCATATTAGCACTCTCAGAGACAAAACAGACAAAATGCACTACACTTGTTTGAGACTATGTTTTGTTCCAGAGACAAGGGTCGTACATTTTCTAGACTGCAGTCAATAAAAGACATCTAGGTTAAGCCCTGGTGTGCATCAGTGACATCAGCAAAACGGCAGAACAGAAAGTTTCCCAGCAAAACTCTCCCAACAAAAATACAGCTAGAAACTATTCAAAAACAAGAATACCTCCCTGAATACACCAGAACTCATAGGAGAAGCACAAAAATCCCCTGGGCCCACAGAATTGAGACAGGCTGCAACCAATAAGAGAAATAGTTATTTCAGACTACACCACTCTTCCCTCGAGCCAGCATAACACCATTCAGAGAATTTCCCTAGATCCATGGTTGCTGATGTGAGAGGAGAGAATTGGAGGCGTAGATTCATTCTCCCCACCAGTCTGGAATCTTCATGAAAAGCCCACTCTTGCCCTGTCTCATGGGAACCACTGGGGATGCTAATATGGCTGAACCACCTGGAGTGAGTTGGATTCAAAAAGCAGGGCACTGTTTGCAGCAACTGGTGCACAGATCTTGGAGGCTACTTGGCACTCTAATCAGCAAAGACACCATGTGGCTGATGCTACCGTGCTGCAGGGGAAACAATAGGCAGGGAGGCCCAAACCCTAGCCAGATTTTCCACAAATTCCATGTGCTCACATGGAGAACTCTCCTGGCCTGGAAACAATTATAAGGCAAGGATTAAGTTCCAGTGCTCATTTTAGTCTTTACCGGACTGTGAAACAATGGCAGGACAGCAATATAGTTTTATGGCAGCTTTTGAGCTCTGGTGCTTTTGATAAGTCTTCCTCAGAATTAAGAACAATGGAAAGGCATCAATTTAGTTCAAGAGTAGTATTTAAGTTCTGGTTTCCATTATGTCTTCCTCTGATGGGGAAACAATGACAGGGCAGTGAGTTAAGTTCAATGCAATGTTTTAGTTCCAGTGCTCACTATAAGTTCTTCCCATAATGGGAAAAAAAAACAGTCCAGTGTTTAAGTCTGACATTAGAAGTAAAGTTCTAACACCACCAAACAACACCCACAAAAACTGGAAGAGATGGCTGTCTCCTCAAATGTACAGGCATCGAAGTAAAGATTCAAGGATTGTGAAACTTGGGGAAATACTACATCACCAAAAGAAACTAACAAAGCTCCAGCAGTGACAAAAAAGGTCATTACATAATGATAAATGTGTCAATTCAGCAAAAGGATATAACAATTGTGAATATAAATGTATTCAACACTGGAGTACCTAAATACATAGAACAAATATTAATAGAACTAAAGGGAGAGATTAATGGTAATACTTTAATAGTAGAGACTTCAGGATCCCACTTTCACCAATGAACAGATCATACAACAGAATATCAACAAGGAAAAATTGGAGTTAAATTACACTCTAGACCAAATGAACCTGATAAATATTTACAGAACATTCCATCCAGCAGCTGAAGAATACACATTTTCCTAATAGCACATGGAACATTCTCCAATAGAGACCACATGTAAGGTCACAAAACAAGTCAACAAAATTTTAGAAATCAAAATCATATTGAGTATCTTTTCTTACCATGATGAAATAAAACTAGAAATCAATAGCAGAAGGAATGTTGGAAACTGTACAGATTATGGAAATTAAACAACATGCTCCTGAACTATGAATGAGTCAATAAAGAAATTAAAAAGGAAATTTAAAAATTCCTTGAGACTAACAAAAATGGAGACACAACACATCAAAAGCTATGGGATTCAGCAAAAGCAGTTCTGAGAGGAAAGTTTACAGCAATAAACACACCAAAAAAGCAAGATTTCCAAATAATGCACCTCAACGAACTAGAAAAGCAAGAATAAACCAAACCCAAAATTAATAGAAGAAAAAATGATAAATATCAGAGCAGAAATAAATAAAATTGAGACTAAAATAAAATACAAAAGATCAACAAAATGAGTAGTTGGATTTTTGAAAAGGTAAACAAAATTGACAAACCTTTAGCTAAACTAAGAAAAAAGAAAGAAGATGCAAACAAATAAAACCAAAAACAAAAAAGGAGACATTGTAACTGATACCACAGAACTACAAAGGATCAACAGAGACCGTTATTAACAACTATACTCCGGCAAATTGAAAAACCTAGAAGAAATTCTTGGAGGTATGCAACCTACCAAGATCAAATGATGAAGGAATAGAAAACCTGAACAGACTAATAATAAGTAACAAGACTGAAGCAGTAACAAAAAGTCTCCCATCAAAGAAAAGCCCAGGAGCTGACAATTTCACTGCGGAATTCAACCAAACTTTAAAAGAACTAATACCAATTCTACTCAAACTATTTTGAAAAAATTGAAGAGAAGGAAATAATTCCAAACTCATTCTACAAGATCAACAGCATCCTAGTACCAAAACCAGACAAAGACACAAAAAAAAGGCGAAAATTACAGGCCAATATTTCACTGATGAATCTAGTTGCAAAAATCCTCAACAAAGTGCTATCAAACCAAATTCAACAGCCCCTGAAAAAGATCATTCACCACGACCAAGTAGGATTAATCTCAAGGACAGAAGGATGGTTCAACACACACAACTCAGTAAATATGATACATCACATTAACAGAATCAAGAACAAAAAACATATGATCATTTCAAGAGATACTGAAAAAGCATTCATAAAATTCAGCAGCCCTTTATGATAAAACTCTCAACAAACTGGGTATAGCATGAACATGCCTTAAAACAACAAAAGCCGTATATGACAGACTCGCAGCTAGTATCATACTGAATGGGGAAAGACTGAAACCCCTTACTGTAAGATCTGGAACAAGATAGGGATGCACACTTTTACCACTTTTATTCAACATAGTACTGGAAGTCCTAGTAAGAGCAATTAAGCAAGAGAAAGAAATAAAAAGCATCCAAATTGGAAAGGAAAAAGTCAAATTATCCTTTTTCACAGATTTTTTTTTATATTTAGAAAGCCCTAAAGACTCTACAAAAAAAACTATTAGAGCTAATAAATTAATTTGGTAAAGTTGCAGGATACAAAGATTAGTAGCATTTATATGTACCAACAGTAAACAATCTAAAAAGGAAATTGAGAAAGCAATCCCATGCGCAGTAGCTACCAAAAGAATAAAATAGGAATAAATTTAACCAAAGAAAGATCTCTAGAATGAAAACTATAAAACACTGATTAAAGAAATTGAAGAGGACAGAAAAAAATGGAAAGATATCCTATGCTCATGGATTGGAATAATTAATATTGTTAAAATGTTCCCACTACCCAAAGTGATCTACAAATTCAATACAATCCCTATGAAAATACAAATGATATTCTTCAAAGAAATAGAGAAAACAATTCTAAAATTGTAATGTAACCCCAAAAGGCTCCAAATAGCTAAAGCAATCCTAAGCAAAAAGAATAATCCTGGCATCAGCACACTACCTGATTTCAAAATATACTACAAAGCTATAGTAAGTGGAAGCACAATACTGACATAAAAATGGACACATAAACCTTGCGTAAACAGTGTATATTGTTTCAATGCATATTGAAGAGACAGTCTCTTCAATAACTGGTACTAGGAAAACTGGATCTCCATATGGAGAAGAATAAAACTAGACCCCCATCTCTCACATTATACAAAAGTCAAATCAAAATGGTTTAAAGACTTACATATAAGACCTGAAACTATGAAACTACTAGAAAAAAACATTGGGAAATGCTTCAGGACATTGGTCTTGGCAGATTTTTTGGGTAAGATCTCAAAAGCACAAGCAACGTGAGGAAAAATAAACAAACAGGACTACATTGAGCTAAAAGGTTTCTGTACCACAAAAAAATAAAAATAAATCAATATAGCAAAGAGGCAAAATAAGAGAAAATATTTGCAAACTATTCATTCAACAGGGGATTAATAACCAGGTTATAAAAGGATCTCAAACAATTCTGTAGCCAAAACAAAAGCAAATAATCTAATTTTAAAATGGGCAAATGATCTGAATATGTATTTTTCAAAAGAAGACATAGAAATGGCCAACAGGTATATGAAAAAATGCTCAACATCACTAATCATAAGGGAAATGCAAATTGAAACCACAATGAGGTATCGTTTCACCCAGTTAAATGGCTTTTATAAAATATATGTAATATATAACATATAATATATAACATTTAATATATATATTTTATATATATAATCTATATATATGCCATCAAGGATGCAGAGAAATTGGAATTCTAGTACACTCTTGGTAGGAATGTAAATTAGTACAGCCACTATGGAAAACATTATTGGGGCCTCTCAAAAAACTAGGAGTAGATCTAGCAATCCGCTGCTGATCCAGCAATCATACCATAAGATCCAGCAATCCCACTGCTGGGTATATATCCAAAAGAAAGGAAATCAGTATATCAAAGAAATGTATCTGCATCTGCATGTTTCTTACAGTGCTATTCACAATAGCAAAGATATGTAATTAACCTAAGTGTCTATCAACAAATGAGTGGATAAAGAAAACGTGACATACACAATGGAACACTATACAGCCATAAAAAGAACTTGTCATTCGCAGCAAAACTGATGGAACTGGAGGTCATTAGTTTAAGTAAAATAAGCCAAGCACAGAAAGACAAAAATCACATGTTCTCACTCCAACATGGGAGTTAAAAAAATCGATTTCACGGAGACAGAGAGTAGAATGATGGTTACTAGAGGTTAGGAAGCATGGGGGGAGGGGTGATGAGGAAAGGTTGCTTAATAGGTACAGAAACACAGTTAGAAGAAATAAGTTACAGTGTTTGGTAGCACAGTAGGGTGACTGTAGTTAACAATAGTTTATATTATATTTCAAAACAGCTAGAAGAAAAAATTAGGAATGTTCATAACACAAAAAATGATAAACATTTGAGATGATTAATATCCTAATCATCCTGATTTGATCATTACATATTGTATGCATGTCTCAAAATATCACATGTACCCCATAAATATGTGCAATTATTTTCTATTAATAAAAAATAGAGGGAAAAGGGACATCTAAATAACAAGCTCTGCCCCAGAAAATGGGGGTATAGAGAAAGTGAGATGAACTCAAAAATACTCATGATGACCACTGAAAAATCAACAATGGCTACTTCTGAAGAAGGCAATAGAATTAGAGAGGAAAAAGAGATAATACATTTGTTTATGCTATAAAACTTCCGTTTGAGTTTTACAGTGAGAATGGAGTCACGAATTACTTGTCGGATTAAATAAATGAGTATGATTTTGAAGAATTTTTATGAAGTAGAACTAGTTAAGTTTTTCCATAATTTCCATTTCAACAGTTCAAACATTGATACAAATATTCAGGGTTATTTTCATTCCATTTTACCTTTACCACATACATATCTATGTATTCACACTGTGTTTTTTTTTTTTTTTTTTGAGTGACTAATGTAATTTCAAGGGGCCAGGAACTAAGTTCTGATCCCACCTTTTCAATAATCAAGTCTTTGATCTTGAACAAGTCCTAACATCATCAATTCCGGTTTCTTCATCTGTAAACCAAAGATTTTTAATTAAGGTGTAACATCACTTTAAGGCTAACATTCTATAATTCTAAGAAGAAATAGTCTACCTGGAAATGAGCCAGTTTATCTGAAAATTATCGGAAAATGATGAAAAGAAAAATGAAGAGTTGATTTGGAGTTTAATAAGTAAACAAATTTAAAAATCAATTTTTATTCATTTAAAAAATGAAAATTATATGCATTTAAGTTTTCTAACATGTTTTATATATGTGTACATTGTGAAGTGATTTTTAACTATTTACATATCTATAACCTTATATAGTTACTTTTGTTTTGATATAGTAAGAACATTTAATAACTACTGTCTTACCAAATTTTATATATACCATATACTATTATTAACTACAGTCACCATAGTGTACATTAAATTCCCAGAACTTATTCATCTTATAACTGATGAATATCCCGCCATCCTCTCCACAGTCCCTGGCAACCACCATTCTACTCTGCTTCTACAAGTTTGAATTTTTTTTTGATTCCACATAGAAGTGGAATTATACAGTATTTGTTTTCATGTGTCTGGCTTATTTCATTTAACATAATATCCTCTGAGTTCACCCGTGTTGTCATAAACAGCATTATTTCCTTCCGTGTTAGAGCTGAATAATATTCGTGTGGGTGTGTGTGTGTGAGAGAGAGAGAGAGAGAGAGAGAGAGAGACATTTAGGTTGCTTACATGATTTAGCTACTGTGAATAGTGCTGTAATAAACATGAAAGTAGAGATATTTCTTCAAGTTACTGATTTCAGTTCCTTTGAATATATACCCAGGAGTGGAAGTGATGGATCATATAGCAGTTCTATTTTTAGTTTTTTGAGGAAACTCCATGGTGTTTCCCATAATGGCTGAATCATTTTACAATACCACTGTCAGTGTACAAGGGTTACATTTTCTCCATATCCTCACAAACACTTGTTATTATTCAACTTTTGATAATAGTCATCTTAACAGGTATACAGTGATAACTCATTGTGGTTTTGATTTGCGTTTTCCTGATGATTAGTGATCTTGAGCACTTCTTCATATACTTTGTGGCTATTTGTATATCTTCTTTGGAAAAATATCTATTCAAGATCCTTAGCACATTTTAATTGTATTATTTGTTTTTGTTTGTTTGTTTGCTATTGAGCTGAATGAGTTTCTAATATATTTTGTATATTAGCCCCCTATCACATATATCAGTGGTCTGCAACCTTTTGGCACCAGAGACCAGTTTCATGAAAGGCAATTTTTCCACAGATGGTGGGGAAGGATGGTTTTGGGATGATTCAAGTGCATTACATTTATTGTGCACTTTATTTCTATTATTATTACATTGTAATATATAATGAAATAATTTCTACATTATGATACACAACTCATCATAATGTAGAATCAGTGGGAGCCCTGAGCTTATTTTCCTGCAACTAGGTGATCCCATCTGGGGGTGATAAAAGACAGTGACAGATCATCAGGCATTAGATTCTCATAACAGAATCATTAGATTCTCATAAGAATCTAATGCTTGCCACCTAGATCCCTCGCACGTGGGGTTCACAATAGGGTTCATGCTCCTAAGAATCTAATGCTGCTGCTGATCTGACAGCAGGCAGAGCTTAGGCTATAATGTGAGTGATGGGGAGTGGCTGTAAATACAGATGAAGCTTCATTGCTCACCCACCAGTCATCTCTTGCTGTGTGGCCAGTTCTTAACAGGCCATGGACCAGTTGGCCTGCTGGCTGAGGATATGGCTTGGGTATATGGCTTGCAAATACTTTATCTCATTTCATAGGTTGCCCTTTCATTTTGTTGATTATTTACTTTGCTAGGCAGAAACTGTTTAGTTTGATGGAATCCCATTTGTTTAATTTTACTTTTGTTGCCTGTGCTTTTAGAGTCATATTCATAAAGTCATTGCCAACACCAATGTCAATGATCTTTTCCTCTGTGTTTTCTGGTAAGATTTTTATGTTTTCAGGTCTTACATTTAACTCTCTAATCTATTTTGAGTTGGTTTTAATGTATGCTGCCAGGTAAAGGGCAAATATTATTCACTTACATATGGATATTCAGTTTCTATAACATCATTTATTGAAGAGACTATCCTTTCACTATTGTGTATTCCTGGGACCTTCATTGAAGATTAGTTGACCATATATGCATGGATTTATTTTGGGGTTCTCTATTCTGTTCCATTGGTCGATGTGTTTGTTTTTATGCCAATACCATACTGTTTTGATTACTATAGCTTTATAGTATATTTTGAAATCAAGTATTATGATGCCTCTAGCTTTGCTCTTTTTTCTCAAGATTGCTTTGGTTATTTGGGTTCTGTTGCAATTACAAAATCATCAACTTTTTAGTTACTTTTTAAATGAATACTGCTGTAACAGATGATGATTATCAAACAATCAAATAGCTACCACTCACAGTTACTTTTTTAAACCAATGAAATACATTTAAGTGCAATTGTGTAAACTAACATCATGAAGTTTTAGTTTCTAAGTCAACTTTTTTTTTATTGCATTTCGTTTTTTTTTTTAATTTTATTGTTATTATACTTTAAGTTTTAGGGTACATGTGCACAATGTGCAGGTTTGTTACATATGTATACATGTGCCATGTTGGTATGCTGCACCCATTAACTCGTCATTTAGCATTAGGTATATCTCCTAATGCTATCCCTCCCCTCTCCCCCCACCCCACAACAGTCCCCAGAGTGTGATGTTCCCCTTCCTGTGTCCATGTGTTCTCATTGTTCAATTCCCACCAATGAGTGAGAACATGCAGTGTTTGGTTTTTTGTTCTTGCGATAGTTTGCTGAGAATGATGGTTTCCAGTTTCATCCATGTCCCTACAAAGGACATGAACTCATCATGAACTGCATAGTATTCCATGGTGTATATGTGCCACATTTTCTTAATCCAATCTATCGTTGTTGGACATTTGGGTTGGTTCCAAGTCTTTGCTATTGTGAATAGTGCCACAATAAACATACGTGTGCATGTGTCTTTATAGCAGCATGATTTATAATCCGTTGGGTATATACCCAGTAATGGGATGGCTGGGTCAAATGGTATTTCTAGTTCTAGATCCCTGAGGAATCGCCAAACTGACTTCCACAATGGTTGAACTAGTTTACAGTCCCACCAACAATGTAAAAGTATTCCTATTTCTCCACATCCTCTCTAGCACCTGTTGTTTCAACTTTTTATTTTTTTTCTTTTCCTATGCTTTAGGCATATTCATTCATCCAACGCTTAGTAAGAATTTACTGATACTATCTAGTCACCAGAGAGACAGTTCATAAAGCTGGTCTGCTCTTTCAGTTTTCACTTAGCCTATTTCTCCACATGAACTGTAAACTCCACATTTCATGTTTAGTCTGTGTATTAGCCTGTTTTCATACTGCTGATAAAGACATACCGAGACTGGAAAGAAAAAGAGGTTTAATGTACTTACAGCTCAACATGGCTGGAAAGGCCTCACACTCATGGTGGAAGGCAAGGAGGAGCAAGTCATGTCTTACGTGGATCGCAGCAGGCAGAGAAGGAGAGCCTGTGCAGGGAACCTCCTCTTTATAAAACCATCAGATCTCATGAGACTCATTCACTATCACAAGAACAGCAAGTGAAAGACCCACTCCCATGATTCAATTACCTCCCATTGGGTCCCTCCCACAACACATGGGAATTGTGGGAGTTACAACTTGAGATCTGCGTGGGGACACAGCCAAACCATATCAGTCTCTTTGCTATAAGGATTACACAAGGTAGTGGAAACAGAACTAACATTCTGGTTATGTCAAATGTATGTAAGCCATAGTTCCACTTCACTGTCTAATCTTGGCCAAATTGCTTAATCTCACTAATCCTCATTTATCTCAACTGCAAACTTTACAAATCATTCCATGTGTTTTTTGTTACTGATGCATGAAAATTTTCTCAAATTTGCAAAGAAAGAAGAAGGAAAGTGTCTTTTTTACTCAGCTGACTGCTGCCTTCAGATGCTTGGCTCACAAAGCAAAATGCTACTTTAGTTGTGCTGCTCTTGTGATTCATGCAGCAGAAGCAAATGTGCTGAACAGAAAAGAAAGATAAGCAAACACTAGATTAGTCATAAACTGGGAGATTGTCTCAAGTGTAAATGCTGGGTAGAAAGCTACAGGCTTTATACTATACACTATATAGTATATATGGTATATGTATACTGAAGGAGGCGGGGGAGAAGGGAGGCATCCACTATTCCTAAATGTAGTTATTCAGAATATATGCCTGAATCTTTGAGGGTTCCTCCATAATAATGGCTCACTCACTGATTCTCTGAGCATTCCAGAACAAAGACAAATTGACTATTTAGCCATGACAAACAAAATTATGAGATAACCCCAAGAGCTAGCCTAAGAGAAAAATAAAGCAAGAGGAAAGGATTTTTCTTTTTATTGTTATTCAGTAGTTTATCTTTCTGTTTGTCTGATGATTTGCTTTTAGGAGCCTGTGAGGCTGGTTTCCTGGGGTCTATGCTGTATAACTTCTTACCTTTAGGTTAAACCTTCTACTGATATTTTTGTACCCAGCCCATCTTGAATGAAGGCCAGATTGGACATGCTTTAATATTTAATCCTTCTGAGTTATCTAATTAAGTAAAAACTGGCATTTTAAAAGTTCCTATGCCATGAGGATTTGAGTAGCTGTGCCAAAAGGCTTACATCACTAGACTGGAGGTAAATTTATAGCTGTTTTTATTCATTTGCATTTCATCAGCCCAAAATTGCTGACTCTAGGTTTGGCAAGGACCTTACTGCCTGCTCAGTCTGCAGGGTATAGTACACAGCTGGTGATGGGCAATGATTCAAGAGAGAAGTTTGAGTTCCACAGTCCACAGGTCATTTTTCACCTTGAAGTTTGGCTGTATAGCAAGTCAATTATATAAACAAAAAGCCGGGGTTATTCTGATGCCATAGGCTTAAAGGCATCCTCCTTTTTTTTTTTCTGTAAGAAGCCCTATAGCATCAGTTCTGGCCTCAGCTGACCTAGTTCAGCCCCAGTCCTGACAATTACAGTGAAATCACATCTTAAGGTAAATAATGGATCTAAGGTAATTATATTATGATCATACTTACCTTTAAAAGTCTCATGTAAGACAGTATCGTACCTGGTAGTTGGGTTCTAGAATCAGCTTGTAAGTATGCATAACAACTGACTCCAACAACATAGGCTGAAGAGCCTGGAGAAAGTTATCTCATGTCTCTAAGCTTCATTTCACTCATGCATGAACTGCAGTTATTAACAGAGCCTACCTCGTAGGGCATAGGAAGGCTGAAATGAGATGACGAATGTGGAGGGCCAAGCGCATAAACCAGCACAATCAATGATAGCTACTAGTATTAACAGATTGTTATGGGCTAGTTAAACTCCTACAGTGGGTTGTTGGCTACATGTACAATGGCTGAACTCTTTCAATTAGCCATTTTGCAGATAAGGGAACTGAGTCTAACGCCAAGCAATTAAGGGGATAGCTAGTAATGCCAAAAACTTGTTTACTGTGTACTATAGTAATCCAGGTCGTATACGATAGAACCAGCTCTGCCCAGTTTTGTCATTTACTGTTTCCATAAACTTATAGAAGTTGGTTAGCTATTCTAAGGATTTTAAAAGTTCATACATATAAACCATTCAACAGTGCCTGGCACATGGTGAGCTACATCATGATCATCATCACCATTATGGTTATTAATATCCCATGCTTTGTGTGGAAACACCAATAGTGTTGGCAGCACCAGTGGTGAAATAATTTGTCTTACACATAAGGGAGAAACAGACTTAACTCCACAAGATTACTTAACATAAAATAGGATTTGAAGAGGATTTTCAATAAGACAATTGGAAGAGCCTCAGTGAACTAAAAAGGATAGATTGCTCCAGATGAATAAAATGAGAAGACATGGAGGCCAGGGTCATAGAAGAGGCAAAACAAAATGACTTGCATGAAAAGAAAGGGAAAGAAAAGAAACAAAGAGATAGAACCTTTGCAGCAGAATAGCAATGATTCCTTTGTTGAAATTCTATAATTTGTTGGCTTGGTCTCCATAGTATCTAAAAGTAGACAGATACTTCAGTTGGAGACCATGATGATAGGCTCTACACTTTCATTACAATAAATGAGACAGAAAAATACCGAGGTACATCCAGAGGCTCAGGAAATGAGTACTGCAGTGCTATTTCACAGATGTGGCTGAGCAAATATAATTCAGAAAATTATTCCTTAGAAAAGAAAATAAAGACTAGAAACTTATTTTATAAATAGTAGATGGGGTGCATGTTGAACATAGGATACCAGAGAGAAACAAGGAGCAATTATTTTTATTAGCCATATTCAGGTGGGGAGGGGACAGATTGTATTTAGCCCTGAGTTAGGATTTTTCAAGCTCACTCTTACATCACTTTTTGTGACCTGGAGCAAGTCCCTTCTTCACACTTATTATGGGCCTAAATCACCTTCCTGCCTAGATCAGGAAGTAGTACAGTATAATGTTTGGATACAAAGGCTCTGGAATTAGATTTGGTTCAGAACTCTCCTTTATGCCTATTTCCTGAGTTATCTGGGACACATTAGTTAAATTCAAGCCTCAGTTTCTCATGTGAAATTTGGAGATTGTAACAAATATTGCTTATTTAGTATTGTTGTTAGAGGTTTAAATCATATAATTCACGTTAAGGTGTTAGCAAAATGCTTGAAATATGGGAAGTACTTAATAAATGGGAAATATTTAATAGATGGAAACTACCTGTATTGTTATCTATAAAAATAAAAGGATGGACTAAAAGATCTGTAACATCTCCTCCAGTTAACCATTGTTTTCTCTAGCCCATGCTCCATATTTTTACAGCCTCCCAACTTTGACATCTCTCTTCTAGTTTATGCCCTAGCTCCCACCTGTAAACTGAGTGGAAAAAAGAAATGTTAAAATGTCCAGTGCTTTGGGAAGCCGAGGCGGGTGGATCACGAGGTCAGGAGATGGAGACCATCCTGGCTAACATGGTGAAACCCCATCTCTACTGAAAATACAAAAAAATTAGCTGGGCGTGGTGGAGGGCGCCTGTAGTCCCATCTACTCGGGAGGCTGAGGCAGGAGAATGGTGCGAACCCAGGAGGCGGAGCTTGCAGTGAGCCGAGATGGCGCCACTGCACTCCAGCCTGGGCGACAGAGCGAGACTCTGTCTCAAAAAAAGAAAAAAAAAATGTCCAGTGTAGAAGCAGAAATGTGTATGAGGGAAGAAGGAGCAGGTCTCAGTCCTCCTACAGCCACCACTAAGATTGCTAGAAGTTGAATATAAATGTTTGAACCCCCAAGGGCACATAAGGAATGTCTTGTTTTAGAAAATGTAGCCGATATATTTAGCTTGTTTTTTCACCTTTTATGAATGAATAGGACACAGAAGCCATCCGAGTGTGACTTGTGAATGAAATAATATGCGTGGATGCATTTTGTAAACAACACTGTTCAAATGGTGCTGTTGTTGCTGCCGTTGCTATAACTGTGATAAGCATATTGTTTATAAACCCAAAGGTCACGGGCTATTTGTCTTTTAATTCTATAAACTGGCACTAGTTTTTTGGATTAAATTATCATTAGGTTTGAGTAATGCCTATCTTATCTACAGCTTCTCTAAGAAGAAAAACCTTTCCTGGAGGCAGTTATATATTAGAGAAAAATTTAGAATAATATACTCGAGATAACAATATATACTAGAGGTAAGTAAACTAGAGATTAATAGTGCAAGTTCTCAGGTTTCTGGATTCATGTCCTTGATCTGCCATATTCCAGTTTTGTGGCCTTGAGCAAGTTGCTTAATAGCTCCAAGTTTCAGTTCCTCCATTTTTAAAACGGGGAAAACAACTGTATGTACCACAAAGGATGCCGTGAGCATTCAACAAAGCAATGAATTTAAGATCCTGGCACAGTGCCTGGAATGAAGGAGGCACCTAATAAAGATTAGCTATTATCATTATTAAAATAATAGAAGACATAATATAGAGAAAATAAATATCTCCACTTTAATGATATGGCAGATACACAAAGTCTGGACGAAAAGGATGTGGAATGGAGGAAAGTGGCAAAGAAGAAGTTGGAATGAACAAAACTCAGCTAAAGTGAGTGCGGTGGCTCACGCCTGTAATCCCAATACTTTGGGAGGCCGAAGCAGGCAGATCATTTGAGGTCAGGAGTTCAAGACCAGCCTGGTCAACATGGTGAAACCTCTTCTCTTCTAAAAACACACACACACAAAAATAGCTGGGCATGGTAGTGCATGCCTATAATCCCAGCTACTTGGGAGGCTGGGGCATGATAATCCAGGAGACGGAGGTTGCACTGAGCTGAGATCGTGCACTCCAGCCTGGGCGACAGAGTGAGACTCCATCTCAAAAATAAATAAACAAACAAATAAATAAAGTGAGTAGGTGGGCCACTGGCCAATTTTTATAACCTCAGCCTTACGGGGTCTGCTCCAAAAGCATCTGTCCCTGGGATAGAATCTAAAATCAGTCCAAATGTCATACTGTTGCTTCAGTTTGAAATTTTGTGACCAGAGTCTTCCTATTTCTAGTCCTAAAAAGAAGCAAAGAGCTGCAGTAGTCAAGACCTCCAGTAGGGAGACTGATACTCCAATGCAGCTAGAAATAAGGTGTGTCATCACACTACAGCCTAAATCTGGACAGTGCCAGGAAGCCTGCTGACATTTATTAAACCTTACCTCTGTTTATTTACCTGCAAAGATGACTCTTTCTTTAGGATTTTAGAATAGAGAGAAAAATTTGAAATATGGGAGTCAAGAAGCTAGTTAGATTCAAATTGTCTATATCAGGGGACAGCAAACATTTCCTGTTTGGGCCAGGTGGTAAAGATTTTAGGTTTTGTGGGCCATATGTTTTCTTTTGTACTTACTCACCTCTACTGTTGTAGTGCAAAAACAGCCATAGACAATACATAAATGAATGGGCATGGCTGTGTTCCCATAAAACTTGATTGACAAAAACTGGTAGCAGGCTAGATTTGGCCCATAGACCGTAATTTGCTGACCTCTAGTCCCTACAAGAGACTTGATGCAATGACTCAAGTTGTCAGAAGAACCTAGGCTAAGGCTCATATAAATCAAACATGATGTCAAAGAATGTTGTTGACTAGAGATTAGCTGACCTAACGTAGACGGCTTCAGAAAGAAGAAGGGAGAGGCAGCAAACTGCTTAAATTTAAATGGAGGAAGCAGCTTCTGTGGAAGAAAATAGGAATAACATGAAAAAGAACTGCAGCATAAGATGTACTTAGTAATTCACATTAGAAAAAATACAGGGTGGACCTCAGCAACATTCTTTTTGGCATTGTTTTTCTGTATTCTAATATTCAGAGCATGAGTAATAACTAGGGTAAACATACATACTTGTTTTCCAGGATAGTCCGAGTGTGTCTTTTGTCCTTGTGTGATCATCAATAGTGTCCCCCTTTTAGAGAACTGTCCCAGTTTGCACTATAAATTATATGATCACAACTATAATAAATTGATTCTGAAGTTGCAGCACAAATAGGTATATATTAATTGGTATTTATTAGTTGGATAGGTATATATTAGTTGGATTTTCACAAGACTTGGACAATAATACAAGTCTATAAATGCAGAATGTAGTGCTAGATAAGGGTATGTTAAGAACTTCAAGTCAGGGTTGGTTTTAAATCCAACTTTATCACTTTCTGATCATCTTAGACAAGGTGTTTAATCTCCCCGAATCACAGCTCCTCATATGTAATAATAAATAATAAAAGTAGCAATCTCATTAGATATGAATTTATTAGCATATAATAAATATTATAAAATATTAGCTGTTATTTTATTATTATTATATATTCAGATAGAATCAATTGGTTGTGTGGAGACAAAAGTCACCTTTCATTTACAGAAGCTATGCCTCAAAAGGAGTAATTTTCTTTTTTTTTTTTTTTTTTTTGAGACGGAGTCTCACTCTGTCACCCAGGCTGGAGTGCAGTGGCGCGATCTCGGCTCACTGCAAGCTCCGCCTCCCGGGTTCACGCCATTCCCCTGCCTCAGCCTCCCGAATACCTGGGACTACAGGCACCCGCCACCATTCCCAACTAACTTTTTGTATTTTTAGTAGAGACAGGGTTTCACCGTGTTAGCCAGGATGGTCTCGATCTCCTGACCTCGTGATCCACCCGCCTCGGCCTCCCAAAGTGCTGGGATTACAGGCGTAAACCACCATGCCCGGCCAGGAGGAGTAATTTTCTTGTCACTGGAGATGATCAAGCAGAGAAGTAACAGCGTAACAGGCACTTCATAGGAATATTATAAGTAAAATCTTGCTACTCAAAGCCTGGTCCATAAACCATGACATTTGCATCAATTAGCAGTTTGTTGGTGCAGAGTCTTAAGCTTCCACCTAGACCTACTGAATTGGAATCTACATTTTGAAGAAACCTTAGTCAGTACATTTAACCTTGCTATAAAGCAGCAGTCCCCAACCTTTTTGGCACCAGGGACCGATTTTGTGGACAATTTTTTCATGGATGGGTTGGGGGTGGGTGGTAATGGTTTGGAGATAATCCAAGTATATTACATTTATCATTAGATTCTTGTAAGGGATGTGCAACCTAGATCTCTCACATTTGCAGTTCACAATAGGGTTCATGCTCCTATGAGAATATCATGCCGCTGCTGACCTTACAGGAGGCAGAGCTCAGGCCATAATGCTCACTTGCCCATGGCTGTGTCACCTGGTTCCACCAGACCACGGACCATTACCTGTCCATGGCCCAGGGGTTTGGGACCCCTGCTAATCGTCCACTGATGACTCAGACATTAGTGGATGATTAGACTTGCAAAGCCCCTTCCATCCCTGAGACCACTTGATACTATAGCATCCACAGGTTATAAGTGGATAAAGTAATGCAGTAGAAGGGAGCTGGGAATTCAATACATACTATATCCTATTCCACTAGGCAAGTTAGGAATAGCCCTTTCCACCCAACTCCAAAGAACATAATACCAGGTCCAGTGACTACATTTCACTGATGAATTAAGTACTAATCTCAGATGGGTACAGATGAAGACCTTAAATGAGTATACTCAGCACTGGGATTATTTTTTAATCTGCAACATTACATCTACCTTGGATATAGCAACTTGATTATTTCCCGAGTTCGCCTCATTTTGTTTTGAGCCATTTCTCTGCTTTCTCGGGAATGTCTGATTATTCTCCATGTAGGTACTCTGTGTAGAGGTCAGTATTCCATTAATACTGAACAATTCACATACAAATAGACAGTTTAACCTTAGATATTTCCCCAAGGCCTAAAAAGGTTGATGCAAATATAAACAGAATCGGAAGAGCTGGTGAGGTATTTAGCTGAAACTTTAAAGAAATGCTTCTCTCACTGGGACTTCTTGGTGATGGTTGTAATGCAGCTCAAATGCTTAAGCTGTTTGTACACTTTTATCCTTTTTCCTTGATGCAGGCTTTCTGACATCCCTGGCTGTCTGAATTACACACAGGGTAGACCATCCTGGCCCACTGGGTTGCATCAATAGCTTCTTAGATCCCTTTTCTGATTCTATTATTCTGTGACTGCTGAGTAGCCCATGGTTATTTTTCAATATAATCTCACACAGAGAAAGAAAGAAGAATATATCATTTTGAATGAATTAAAGTAACAAAGGAAAAAATTAGTTTTAAGGAGAAAAAAGACAGCAGGAGGTGTGATAAAAACCACCAAATTTTTAATGTATCTAACCTAAGAGAATTTCATTCATTCTCTTAATAATGATGACAATTCATTTATTATGTCATTATTTATCAAGCATATACTATGTGCTAAGCCCTGTGCTTGTTGCATAACAATGATAATAATAATAGCAGCTAACATTTGTTGAAGACTTACAACCACATGAATGAGATCACTATGGGCACCATCCTCATGGAAACTTACAATCTAGCAGGGAAGGCAAATTATAAAAATAATCCCAAGTGTTGTCAGTGCTATGTGAAACTGTAGGTATAATGGGAGGGTGTTACAGGTCTAGGGGTCAGTGAAGGTTTTCCTCAGGAAGTGACATTTAAGAGTTAGCTAGACAAAGAAGTAGGGATGAGGAAAAAGTGTCCCAGGCCGACTGAAGACTATATGCAAGAGCTCTGACCAAGCAAAATGTTTGTTTTGGAAATGAGAGAACTGGCCAAAGCTTGGAAGGCCAGGGGGAGAGCAGGACGACAAGGCTAGGAAAAGGAAGGCAGGAGCCAAACATGCTGAACCTTAGAGGCCATGTGAGGAGTTTGGACTTCATCCCAAGGGCCATGGGGGAGCCATTGATGGGCATTAAGCAAGTGAGGGACATGATCAGATCTGAATTCTAAAATTTCTCTGAGTGGATCAGAAAGGAAGAAAGGGAATATGTGGATGACAGAAATGATGGTGACTCAAATAAGAGCAGTGGCAGTGTTTGCAAAACATCTCCATGTTAGAGTGAGGTCCCTGTCAGGCTAATAAGATGCTTTCTCTCCTGGAGTCTGCTTATTTGCTAATCCTTGAAGGAACTTTCAATTCTCAGAACCTCAGAACCTTTGCCTTCACAGAGCCAATAAGACAGATATGGGAGCTGATGAGCAAATACAACAGAAAGTCATGCAAAGGAAAAACACAAAGAGACAGTCCTCCAGCAGAATTCTGAGCCTGGGTCTGCTGGTTCCCTGATTCCTTCCATGCTTTGGAAAGGAACGATGTGCTGGTGCATTCAGAAAAGAAAATGAGACCCAGAAAAGCAGGATTTCCCTAAAAATCCTGGTCATAGACCATAAAAGTATTATCACAACATAATGTAAAGAATGTATTTCTGGAAGGAATTCTGTTTCTATATGAGAGAAAGGTATTTTAATTAATGATTCTACAGCCCTTTTACCTTAAAGAGAGGGTTTGTTTAGAAAGCTTGAGTTGTAAGCTATACTGTTAGCTTAGTTTGTGCTAAGTGAGATGACAAAGCTGTCACCTTCCTCTAAGTTCAAAGAACAGTTATCAATTAATTACTCATCAAGTATTTTCTTGAGCAACTACAAAATGAAAGGCATTAGAAATACAAGGATAAATTAAAATTAACATTATTCTTGTTTACATGGAGCTTCCAGTTAGTGAAGAAACTGAGAGTCTAGACGCTAATCACATGATTACATAATTAAATTTAAAACTGCAACTGTGATAGATTCTACAAAAGATAGGTATATGTACTGTAAGGGCTTACGAAAAAAGAATCTGGCCTACACAATAAGTTAGGGAAGTAATTACTGAACTGAGAGCAGAAGAATGCATATAAGTTAAATGGATAAAGCAGGATAGAAAAATAGACTAGATAAAATGAATTAACTTGACAAACAGATATAGACTACCTGCAAGGTGCCAAAGGTCGTGATAGGTAACTGTATTACACAAACAAATGAAAGTTGGTCTGCAAGTTACAGAAAATAGGATGGGCTGAAGCTTGTTAATTCCTAGTTGTGAGAAGTTGGTGTTACTTTAACTATCCAAGCCTCAGTGTTTTAATCTGCAAAATAAGAAAATAACATCTATCTTGTAAGATTATTGTGAAAATTTTAAAAGCCCTTAGCTTACCGTCTGGCATACAAGTAGCAAATCCAGACAGAGGGAGTCAGTATGATATAGTATCAGAAGCAATGTTACACAGTTGTCAAAAGCTGAATGTCTTTGATCAGGCTGAATTCCAATCCCAGGTACAATTACTAGCTCTGTGACCTTGGACAAATGACACACTTTCTAATCTTCAGTTTCTTTATGTAAAAAGATGATAGACATATCTACCTCACATTTCTTGGTAGGATCAAAGGAGATAATGCACGGAAAGGTCAAAGATTACTTAAATAAATATTTGCCTACATATTTTATATGTACAAGCTACTATATCAGCACAGATAAATAAGTAGTTATGTTTCTCTATTGTTGTTGTTTTGGGTAGGAGGGTGAAGCTAGACAAGACCAAAGGCTTCACATAGAAAATTTTCACCTAGGTCTTTGCCTACATATTTTATATGTACAAGATACTATATCAGCACAGATAAATAAGTAGTTTTTTCATTGTTGTTGTTCTGGGTAGGAGGGTGAAGCTACACAAGACAAAAGACTTTACATAGAAAAATTTGACCTAGGTCTTGAAAAATTAATAGATGTTGGACAGACAATGCTGATAAATGTGCCTTGCGCAAGCCATACGACTGCAATTTGCTACTATGAGAACAGCCCCGGGGGTTCAAGGCATAAGGATAATATTTTTAAAAGCCTGGTGAGTTCCTCCTAATAAACATCATCGCTTCAGTTGTTGTCATGAGCTAGAATGCAAGATGATGTAGTAGATAATAGCACATGCTTTGAAATAAGATAGACATGGGTTCTGAGCCAGTCCCTGCTACTTACAACTGCATGACCTTATGCCCATTACTTCACTTCTCTGAGCTTCAGTTTACTCATCCCTAAGAGGAAGTAACAACAGTGCCCTCTTCACGAAGCTATTATGAGGATTCAGCACGATAATGTATGTAAAGCTCTAAGTATCTTGTTTGGCGCATAATAAGTGTTTAATAAATGTTAAGTATTGTTATTATTGTTGATGTGGCATTAAGGTTATGCTGGCATAAAACATTAGAATTTGTTCAGTGCATGGAACAATTACATTAAACTTAGAGCAAGCTATATTACTTACTTAACAGTGGAATACCAAAGAAATACAATGAACAACAGGTTTTAAGAGTTCCTATATGGCAGTGGTTGCAGGTATTTATCTTTGTCACCCTAGTAACTTTGAGAACTCTACAGAGTAGGCCTTCAATAAGTGTTGAATAAATGAACGATTTTGCTGATTTTAAAATATTTTTTATACTTGTAAACATGGTAAGTGTTTCTGCAGATAATCTGTAAATAAAAAATACATCTGTAAATTCAACACCAATGTGTTTTCTTCCAAGGTGTGTGTGCATGTGCGTATGTGTGTGTGTGTATAATATATATGGGAAATCATGGCATTTAAATAAATGTATACATGTTTTGTTTTGATCATACCATATGAAAGCTTTTTTCCACTTGCCATATGAGCATTTGCCTTGTTTTATGAAACATACTTTACAAACATGATTTATATGTTGCATTACACTCTATAAGAATATACCATATAATTTATTTAACTATTACCTTATTGTTACACCTTTACTGTGTGTCAAAACTAATTCATCTTCAAATATATGTTATTTGTCACCATATTCAGTGAGTTCTTAATCATTTTTAGGGTAAACAACTTAAAAACCTAATTATTAAAAAAAATACTCTGTATTATCTCCCTCCTAGATGAGAACATTTTATGAAAACACTAAAAATAAATTCAATAAACAAAATGTAATATAGCCTAAAGGTGGCTAAACACAAAAGTGATGTAGTCACAGCATTAGCGCAGGTTTATTGTAATCTCAGGATGTAAGGTTTTAACTTGGCCTTTATGTTATTCTAACCAAGGAGTATCATAATCTTTATTATGAATGTACACTTTGTCTGATATGCAGTTTACAATAATGAGACTAATTCTACATGCCAATTTGCATGGCTTCTAAAGAATTCTAATAGGTTCCAATATAAAGCAAAAAAAATTGTTTTGTATTTTTTGTTTGTCGTTTCCATCTGTTTGCTTCTAAAGATAGAGCAATTTCTGATGTAAAAAGCATGTAGCCATGTCTGCACATTTCTATGTACATGTTTCTGCCTGTGGGGGTTAGAAAAGTTCCGAATTATTATTAAGTTTCAAAGAATTATGAAAAAAATGTTAAAAAACACTTCTAAGAATAATTTTTATTTAAGCCATTTCTTTTTCTCCCTCATAGTTACATCATCCTTCCCAAGGATTCCGCTTTGGAACTGTCCGAGAAAGCAGTGCTGAAGATTATGTGAGACAAAGTTTCCCAGAGATGCATGAATATATGAGAAGGTACAATGTTCCAGCCACCCCTGATGGAGTGGAGTATCTGAAGTGAGTGTCAACCTCTTGGATCCAAAGAAAAATTCTCACTGAAGAGAAGTAATTTAGCTACTGACGCAGTATATGTTAGTTTCTGAAAATGACAGATGAATATACCCACGTTGTGTTAAGTAATACTTTACACTGTGTGAGATCCCAGGAGATGGTGTGAAATAGTGTGTATTTAATTATGTGACCTAGATTACTTGTGACCTGCATAGTCTCAAGTTGGTAGTAGCTTTGTTCAAAGAGTCAGTGGGGCCATTAGCATAGCAGATGGTGGAGGAAGTAAATGTTGGCTTTACATCACTTGAGAATACAATGGTGCTGAAATAGTCAAACACACAGGGAATATGGCCAGAGGATAAAGTGTCCCAAGGCAACGTTTTCCTTCCCAGTGAATATATCTCTAAACCCATGGAATGCCTCCTCTTGCCATGAGGAAATGGAGTTTATCTTAGAGATTTCCTGTAGAAAGGAAATAAGATAGAAGACAATGATTCCCATGCCTGCATTCTTCTCATCAGAATTTATGAGAAGCAATCATGAGAAATCACACTGCCATGGCAGATTATCAGAGCCTGTAATTCAATGAAGTTGAATACAAAGGCAGACAGTGCAGTGATGGGTCTGTTCTGTCTAGTCTTCCTGAGAAAAGGGAAAGAATGGTTCCTGAAAAACAGGAAGACATGAGGGTGAGTAGTCCTCTCCCTCCTGCTCGATGGAATCAAGATAATAACAGACATCCACACCTCCAATTCCTAGAATTGTGCAGCATCAGGAAACTGGTTTCTCCATGGTCAGCATCAATAATCTCCCCAATGGACAGCAGGATCTGCCACCTCAAATTCTTTTTTAAGAAAGAATAGAAATAAATAAATAATTTCATGGAACATAAGGGTTTTGTCTTTCTCAACAACTTTAGAAACATGCCACTTAAAAAATTTTATGGACTTTTAACTATAGCTTAGAGAAAAAGCCTTGTTCTCTCATATTTGCAAAATTATACATGATGTGTAAGTATTATGAAATGCCACTTTTAATTTTGCAAGAACATCAACACATTACAGTCTCTCTCTGACATGAAGTTTAGAGTCCCTTTACCTCCCAGATCTTCTTGTGTATTCTCTTCTTCAGGCGAATTTATGGTTGAGAGAAAGAATAAGATGTCAGGGTAGCAATGGCTTCCAGCTCAATAGAAATAGCAGACAAACTAGGCTCTGCTGACAGTGTGAAAAAGGATGAGATGAGCTACTGCTGCAGTCCCCAGCAGTTCCACTCCACTCAGGGCATTCACGTATCTCAGGAGCTTTACCTGAGAAGGCCCACGTGCCCAGCACTGGCCCTGCCCTAGCCTGAAGGGAAGCAATCTTCAGGAAAGCGGCCACAGATGAAGGCCCAAGACAAGTCAATTTTCCTTGGTAATAAACTAGCAAGTGGCAGAGTCAGGACTAGGACCAGGTCTCTGGAATCCAACTGCTGCTTCAGACTAGTCTGGGAACGATGATGAAAGAGTAGGTCCTTGATGTTTGCAGAATAGTCCATGTTCCAGCAACATCTATGTTGCAGTTAGTATCTGAAAGCTAGTTAGAAATGCAGCAACTCCAGCCTCATCCCAAACTTACTGCATCAGAATCTTCATTTTAACAAGCTCCCCAGGCAATTCACTGATTGAGGTGAAATTGGCATCTAGGCAGAGCTTATCATTAATGCCCTCTCACCACTTCTCTCTGGGCCTTAACTCTCCACTTTCAGCCTAGTCATTTCCTGTGCCCTCAGCCACCACTTCCCGCAACCACAGTCTTCATGTTACCTCCCTGGCATCCCAGAGCTCTGACCTACAAGGCACAACCCCTAGCATTGCCTGTGCAAGGAACTTTTCTACATATTGAACCTGTCCTTTCCCTCTCCCATCAAAATTCTCCTGGACTTAATTCTGCTCTCTCAGGGCCCTGCTTTCTCATTAACAGTTTTCCAAAAAATTAACTCCTACTAAAATGCTTATTCCTTTTATTATGTTAATATGTGACTGGTTTTCTTGTGATGTGTGATATGTATTTTTAAATAATGCTTAAGAAAAGACAGGGCATGATTCTATAATAGAAATAACCATTGGGGGCCCTGTGAACCACAACAGTGATTCAGCCAATCTAGAAGCTACTTGTAACTGGATCCCACTTGGCCATTTCCTCACCAGTGACTCAGGGTCCCAATGGAGTCTGAGAGCTGACTGCTTTTCGCCTTTTCACGTAACTGAAATTTATCATAGCTATCTGCACTTTGCAGTCCAAAATCAAGAGTAGTTATTTAAGGAAGGATCCCAGAGACATTAGGCTTCATGAATTACTGGTTTTAAAAAACTGAAATGAACCTCATCTTTTTTATTGTCATATTGCTACCACAAATATTTGTGGAATATTGGCAAGTGATAACTTGTTGCTACGTAGCTGTCAAGGTACATTATGGTACTGTGGCAGTCGAACTTTGATTGGAGAAACAGCTTTCAGCTCAATTTTTATTTTATTGCCAGGATTCCATTAAGATTCCTTATCAACTTCTAGGAGACAATCCACATCCCCAACACTTTCTAAAGCTTCCCATTACTGTAGAGCTGGGAGATGCTTCATTTTGGTTAAAGTTAAATTTGGGCCTCATTGTAACTTAAATCTGATACCCCTTTGAAAAGGGGATGCATTTTAAATTGGTTATTTCACTTATTTGAAGAGTAGGATAAGAAAGCAACGGTCATTGGTACCAAAAAGGGAAGCTGACCTGCCAACTATGTGTCTATACATGACCCAGACAAAGCCATTCGTGTAAGGATGTGTTTCCTGCCCTGATGAATCTTCTGGGTGTCTAGGGATATCTTTCTCTTTTTGATTTTCTATGAATTCTAGTCATATTCTCCTCTGTTTAGAAGCCACACTGTGTTAAATTAGAACAGCCTCACCACTGGATCTAAGAGAGGAAGGACTGAGCCCAGAAGGGATAGAAAAGAGTTATTCTTTTTGCAAAGCTGTTTGGACAACTCTAAGGGTAGAAAATCCTTTCTTTTTTTTCAAATTAATAAATATTTTTATTTTTAAAAAATAAATACCTACACCTACACAATAAAAAGGAACTGAGGTAGTCATCGCATGAGATAGAAAGAAGTGTAATACAGAGTTCTGGTTCCCAAGAAACTTACACTTTAACTGGGGAGATAATATAGTGCACAAAATGGTTGCTTTTCTGGTCTTCACAGAATCCATTCCCTCTTTTTGGTCACAGCATCCTGCATTTCTTCATCCCTCTTCTACTCTCACTGATTTATATGAGGTGAACCCCACCCCTGGCTCCAGGTGACACCACCTAGCCAATAAGAATGATAGTCCAGACTTTTTAATGATTGCCATTCTAACTGCTGTGAGATGGTATCTCATTGTGGTTTTGATTTGCATTACTAGTCCAACCATTGTGGAAGTCAGTGTGGCCATTCCTCAGGGATCTAGAACTAGAAATACCATTTGACCCAGCCATCCCATTACTGGGTATATACCCAAAGAACTATAAATCATGCTGCTATAAAGACACATGCACATGTATGTTTATTGTGGCACTATTCACAATAGCAAAGACTTGGAACCAACCCAAATGTCCAACAACGATAGACTGGATTAAGAAAATGTGGCACATATACACCATGGAATACTATGCAGCCATAAAAAATGATGAGTTCATGTCCTCTGTAGGGACATGGATGAAATTGGAAATCATCATTCTCAGTAAACTATCGCAAGGACAAAAAACCAAACACCACATCTTCTCACTCATAGGTGGGAACTGAACAATGAGAACACATGGACACAGGAAGGGGAACATCACACTCTGGGGACTGTTGTGGGGTGGGGGGAGGGGGGAAGGATAGCATTAGGAGATATACCTAATGCTAAATGACGAGTTAATGGGTGCAGCACACCAGCATGGCACATGTATACATATGTAACTAACCTGCACATTGTGCACATGTACCCTAAAACTTAAAGTATAATAATAATAAAATAAAAAAATAAAAAAAATTTTTAAAAAAGGAATGATAGTCCATTTCCATGGTAACAATATCCAGGGATGGGCTCAGGACATAGTCACAATAAAAGCAAATTAGACTAAGAGCTTTTCTGAAACTGTTCCTCATAGAAAATCCTTTCTTAAATGGATGTATGTCTTTCACCTTTCCAAAAAGAATTGGAAGTGGCTGAAAACAAAGAAATCGTTGCATGTATTTTAGACAGTTATTTCCTTTTAAAACTTCTCCTTCCTTGCCCTCTTTGTAGGTGGAAGCTCAGCCTATGCTGAGACTCACCCTTCATCTGAACCTAGTCCCAACACTTACTAGCTGTGTAACCTGGTTTAAGTTACTTCAATCCTCTGAGCCTCAATTTCCTCATCTGTTATATCACAGTCATTCTGAGTGATAAAAGGTATAGAGAACAATGAATGCAATGCCTAACAACAAGAAGTCCCTCTAACAGTGTAATAAGAATAAACATTCTCTATGCGCTTCCTATTCAATTCAGAGTGGCTCTGGCTTTACTGATGGATTTAGAAGTAATTAAAGGAGCTGGTAGATAAACTCATTGGAAAGATGTCATGCTGTCTTATAAGAGTGCCTGTCTCCCCTGGTCTGTAGTCTAGACATCAGTGAGAAGCCAAGACAGCTAAGTCAGCACCTAGGTAGCTTGTGCGGCCCTTAGTGTTCGGGTTCTGTCCCCTAAACAAAAGCCGGCTGTCAGCCTTCATGCTTCCTTCCCATTAATGAATCATTTTCACTTTTCTCCTCTGGTCTTAAATATAGGAATGATCCAGAGAAACTAGACGCCTTCATCATGGACAAAGCCCTTCTGGATTATGAAGTGTCAATAGATGCTGACTGCAAACTTCTCACTGTGGGGAAGCCATTTGCCATAGAAGGTATTAATCAGTCACTCTTGATTCACTTTTACTCAGGATGTGCTCAGTTTGCCAACCTAGAAAGTCACAAATGCCAAAGTCAGAAGCAAAGAGCTATTCATCTTCCCTCGTTTTCATTTTCAACTCATAAGCACTTAGCTATTAAGTTGCTGAAGTTAGGAATTTATTTTTCACCTATTCAACAAATATTTACTTATCCAATTTTTAGGGGGAAAAATCATTGTTACCCATATGATGTTGTTTCAGATATCTGGGAGTGGTGGCACAGTGTAATAAATTTTAATTTAATCTGTATTGTGTGTGTGTGTGTGTGTGTGTGTGTTTAGTGGCAGGGTGTTGCTATGTGCTATGTTGCCCAAGCTTGTCTCCAACTCCTGGCCTCAAGTGATCCTCCTGCCTCAGCCTTCCAAAATTCAGGGAAATCTGTATTTTCTAACAGCCAAATACTCTAGCAAATCTGACAGAAAAACTAGAATGATTACATTTTACAACTGGGAGGGCCCCAATATTGATCTAATGCAATCTACTCATTTGATAAACAAGAAAGCCCAGGGACATTACATAACATTTTCATAATTGTACAATTAGATGATAATACTGGGACTGAAATCTAAAGCTCCTGGTTCTTAAATAAGTATTATTCCACTGGTTGGAAAATAAGTAGAAAAAAAAACTCATTCTATAGTTTAATGCCCTTTAAGGTCCCAAACAAAACCTTGGGATCCTTGTTTGGGATCTCAGGTCTTTTTCTCCACTGGCAGCAAATTTTTCCTTCTAATGTGATCTCCCAATCAATCAAACTTCAGAACCAAAGAAAGATTGCTTTGTCGGTAGCTCCTTTCATTCTGAATGACGGTTGATATATGGAGCTGATAGTTTGAACCAGCAAATTTCACTTCTCCCAATTCCCAGCTTCCCTTCCTGATAGTGCATGCTGGCTCTCGAGACAGCCATGCTCACTTGACAGAAAACACTTTGGCTTAAAACAATCCCGTGGGGGTGCCCAACTGCTATTTCCAGAAATCTGAACTTTCCTGTATGTTAACTAGGATATCAAGACTATTCTGATTTCAATTTCCCAACCACAGTTAGTCTCTGTCTCCTCTAAATATATCAGCAGATTAAAATGTTTACCTCTGTCTTTGTTTTCATGATAAATGAGAATGTTACAGCTGATGCTATTTCTCCACATCTTCTCCTAGCAGAAATCAGTCCCCTCTCCAGGCAAAGTCACCCCCACCTGAAGCAGGGATGGAACTCAGAAAGAGAGGCAATTAGCAGTAGTGGTCTTCTATTAAGACTACCGTCTTAGATAGCAAAGGGAGAAAAAGAAAAAGCTAGAAAAATAAACAACATTCAGTATATAATCCCATTTTAATGTAACAATGAAAAATTTCTCCTTTTTTGTGGCATCTGGGGATGTTACATTTTATTTCTGTCCTAGATGCACTGGGTAACTGAGATCCCTTCTGCCATTAGGAGCTACTAACAATGAATCATGGGTAGAGGACACAAGAATGAGGGGCTCCATTTTCCACCTTTATCTTCAGGGGACAACTCTATCTTGTCAAAAGACAGTGGTAGGATGGCTTGTTTGCCTCTGCTGGACCCTAGTGCCAGATGCCACGCAATTAACTCCCCACTGGTTTCCTGTTTACATTTCCATCTGTGTTCCTGAGACTTAGTGTCTTGCAGTTCCCAACATCTCTAGACATCACATTGTTTTCAAAGGAGATGAGCACAAAATGGTGCATGGAAAAGCCCTCCCTGCAAGAGAGTAGAAATACTGCAGGTTTTAATTGAGAGAATATTGTTATCATTGTGAGGTTATTCTCCAAATGGATGGGGTACACATCAGAAAATTAATTCAATTCTACTTCTGACAATAAGTTCATACCCCAAAAACATAACTCAGTAAAATACAAAAGGATACGTATAAATTACACGAAACAATGTGGTAGAAATACTAGTCAAAGTCTTGATTGCTACTTTTCTTAAAAATATGAATTTCACAAATTGTTTTTTTTTTTTTTGAGACTGAGTCTCACTCTATCATCCAGGCTGGAGTGCAGTGGCTCAATCTCAGCTCACTGCAACCTCTGCCTCCCAGGTTCAAGCGATTCTCATGCCTCAGCCTCCCGGGTAGCTGGGATTACAGGTGCCCACCACCACACCCCGCTAATTTTTGTAGTTTTAGTAGAGACAGGATTTCACCATGTTGGCCAGGCTGGTCTCAAACTCCTGGCCTCAAGTGATCCTCCCACCTCGGCCTCCCAAAGTGCTGGGATTACAGGCGTGAGCCACCTACAGTCTAAATAATAAAGCTCACATTTTAATAAGTTCAAGAAACTTAAATGTTATTAGAGGATAGCATATATTTTTAACAATTTAATTGAGAGAAATAATTTCATGAATTTTTGAGAAAATATTTCTCTCAAATTGTTAAAAATATATGCTATCCTTTGACAACATTTAAGTTTCTTGAACTTTTTAAAATGTGAGCTTTATTATTAAGTTAGACTGTATAGGTATAAAAAATCATCAAAGCGGTGTATGAGCAATACTTGGTCATTTAGTTTACAGGAATGTTTTATATGCCTACCCATAACCTTTCACAGGGCCTAGTACAATGCTAGGCATATAACATTAATGTAATAAGTGATGTATTACCTATTAAATAACTAATTAGGTTTGAAATAGGTACCTAATTCACTCACTTAGGTAGTTAATAGCTTGTACTTATACTTTCCCAAATGTTTAAATGTACTTAGGAGAGAAAACAGAGTGCAATGATTCCTTCATGCTGAATGTACTGTCACTGCATATAGTAGTAACACACTCAGTACTCTATGTGTGACACTCAGTGTAACTACTGCTGTGGTCTGAATGTTTGTGCCTCCCCCCAGATTCATATGTTGAAACCTAATCCCCAGGGTGATGGTATTAGGTCATGAAGTTTCCACCCTAATAAAATGGAATTAGTGCCCCTACGAAATAGGCTCAACGAAGCTCATTCACCCTTTTCAGCATGTGAGGACCTAGCTACATGGCACCATCTATGAACCAGAAAGCAGGCCCTCACCAGGCACCAAATCTACCATTGCCCTGATCTTGGACTTCCCAGCCTCCAGACCTATAAGAAACCAATTTCTTTTGTTTTTAAGTCTCCCAGTCTATGATATTTTGTTATAGAAGCCTGAGCAGACTAAGATAACTATTAACTATCCCTCCAAACTTCACCATTCTGCATTTATTTTGACTTAAAAGGGAAAAATAAGGCAAATAAGGGACAGTGGCTCCACACTGAGTTTGAAACCCTTTCATGAGTACTCATCGGTACGCAGTATATAGCAAAGCAAACCAAAACTATTAAGGATGCGAAAGCATGTGGAAAGTCTTTGGTCGAATTAAAAACCATAAACCAGGGGCACAAATACATATTGTGTGCAGGGGAGAAAAAAAAGTGTTGAGATAAATGAATACGTGTCTCCAATTTGTGCATTGGAGTTAGCTGACAATAAAGCTCAAACAAGGAGAAAGAGTAACGTAACTGCACAATAATGATGTGTGATCTTTCTGCCAAAGACCTTTGCCTGTTTATGAGTTTGTTCTTTTACTTGCTTTCCAATAATTATTTAATGCAATGCTTGGAACACTGGCTCTGGAGTCTGAGTACTTGGGTTAGGATAAAATTGCTGTTATTAACTGGCAAGTTATCTAATCTACTCTTCAGGTTCCTCACCTGCATAATGGGGAGATGAATAGGAAATTTATGATAGAATTGTTGTGAGGATTAAGTAATACATATAAAGCATGTACTGTAGGAACTTGTTTGGCACATAAGAAGTGCTCAACAAATTATTATTATATAGTATATTGATTAATGCATTGAGACCAATTAACTGTAAAATTCTTCCAGGATAGTCTTCCTAAGTCTCAACTTCTCCCACACATTTCTCTCCCCACTTTGATATGCTGAGGCTAAGGGAAACCCATTTTATAGTACCTTTATAGTTGGGACCATTACAATATGTTCTCAACCATTATCCCAGAGTAGCTAAATATGGTATTCCAAGGACAGACTGCAAAATTGAATAAATCTTTCACCCTGAAGCCTTTTTAACCCTATCTGAGATGCTATTTTCAAAACATCTCTTTTCCAACCACATTTCGGAAGATTCTTTTAGTCTATGAATTTCTAACTATACATTTGCTAGCTAAAATATATTTCCACCACTCTTAGCTTAATAAAGCTGATTTATCCATGGTGAAAAGATCAGGATTCTATTCTGAAAACTGTTCTCTTGGGCCATTAAGCTGTATCCAATTTCCAGGATGCCTGATGCCTTCATCTTTAGAGTTGAAGGATTCCATTTTGCTTCATTCATCAACCACAAAATAGTCAACCCTGTCTTTATTGCAAAGCCACATTTCTAGTAATAATGAAAGCAACTCAGGCTGCTCAGTTGAGTCAGCAATTTAAAAATGAGAATTCTTTGACCAATGAACACTAGCAAATTTGAAAAGCAACTATAAATGGGGACAGAAATAAAACCCTCAAGGTTTTATTTTATGTTTTTGAATAAAATGGATTTTTATCTCTTTTAACAAATAAGTCTTCTCATCATCACATAATTTATTTTCCTATTTTTCCCATCATTCCATATGCATAGTTTGTTTTCATTAGCTAAAAATGATTATTATTGCTAGAAATCATTAAAATATCAATATAAAAGTGTTCCTATTTCTCCACATCCTCTCCAGCACCTGTTGTTTCCTGACTTTTTAATGATTGCCATTCTAACTGGTGTGAGATGGTATGTCATTGTGGTTTTGATTTGCATTTCTCTGATGGCCAGTGATGGTGAGCATTTTTTCATGTGTTTTTTGGCTGCATAAATGTCTTCTTTTCAGAAGTGTCTGTTCATGTCCTTTGCCCACTTTTTGATGGGGTTGTTTGTTTTTTTCTTGTAAATTTGTTTGAGTTCATTGTAGATGCTGGATATTAGCCCTTTGTCAGATGAGTAGGTTGCAAAAATTTTCTCCCATTTTGTAGGTTGCCTGTTCACTCTGTCACTCTGATGGTAGTTTCTTTTGCTGTACAGAAGCTCTTTAGTTTAATTAGATCCCATTTGTCAATTTTGTCTTTTGTTGCCATTGCTTTTGGTGTTTTAGACATGAAGTCCTTGCCCATGCCTATGTCCTGAATGGTATTGCCTAGGTTTTCTTCTAGGGTTTTTATGGTTTTAGGTCTAATGTTTAAGTCTTTAATCCATCTTGAATTGATTTAAATGTGGCACATATACACCATGGAATACTATGCAGCCATAAAAAATGATGAGTTCATGTCCTTTGTAGGGACATGGATGAAATTGGAAATCATCATTCTCAGTAAACTATTGCAAGAACAAAAAACCAAACACCGCATATTCTCACTCATAGGTGGGAATTGAACAATGAGATCACATGGACACAGGAAGGGGAACATCACACTCTGGGGACTGTTGTGGGGTTGGGGGAGGGGGGAGGGATAACATTGGGAGATATACCTAATGCTAGATGACGAGTAGTGGGTGCAGCGCACCAGCGTGGCACATGTCTACATATGTAACTAACCTGCACAATGTGCACATGTACCCTAAAACTTTAAGTATAATAATAAAAGAAAAACACACACACACACACAAAATAAATAAATAAAATAAAATAAAATAAAATATCAATATTCAATACATGTATTTAAACAGAAATTTTAAAGGGATAGTAATCTGTTTTTAGCAACTGCAAATTAACCTAGACATGATCGAGTGGAGTGATTTAATATTTATTATTTCTTGTGTAACATTTTTTATAAATGTCTCTGAAACTTCAACATAGCTTTTTCATTAGGGAATCTTAACACTTTTGTTGTAGTGCCAAAATTCTATTCTTAGAATATGTAGATTTATCATAAGTATGAAGTTAAGAATTTAAAACTTTCTTATCATATACTTTTGTCTTATCTACCAAAAATATCACAATCAAGAACCAATTCAAGATGCCATCTTTCATCCTCTCCTCTGGTACCAATCTCTTGTTCCTTTGAATTTTCTTTTTTTTTTTTTTTTTTTTTAGACGGAGTCTCGCTCTGTCGCCCATGCCGGACTGCGGACTGCAGTGGCGCAATCTCGGCTCACTGCAAGCTCCGCTTCCCGGGTTCACGCCATTCTCCTGCCTCAGCCTCCCGAGTAGCTGCGACTACAGGCGCCCGCCACCACGCCCGGCTAATTTTTTGTATTTTTAGTAGAGACGGGGTTTCACCGTGTTAGTCAGGATGGTCTCCATCTCCTGATCTCGTGATCCGGCCACCTTGGCCTCCCAAAGTGCCGAGATTACTGGCGTGAGCCACTGCGCCCGGCCCTTTTGTTCCTTTTTTTTTTTTTTTTTTTTATACTTTAAGTTTTAGGGTACATGTGCACATTGTGCAGGTTAGTTTCATATGTATACATGTGCCGTGCTGGTGCACTGCACCCACTAACTCGTCATCTAGCATTAGGTATATCTCCCAATGCTATCCCTCCCCCCTCCCCCCACCCCACCACAGTCCCCAGAGTGTGATATTCCCCTTCCTGTGTCCATGTGATCTCATTGTTCAACTCCCACCTATAAGTGAGAATACCTTTTTTAATGCAGATACACAATCTTTTTCTTTAAAAGAAAAAGGCTTGAGATGTGTGTATAACCAATAAAAGAGATGAAATAACGCATAAAAAACTGAGTTTTAATGGATTGTATTTTTTTCTAATAACATTATTTGTTGCTTAACAATAGGAAGTCAAGAAAATGATGACAACGTCAAAAGCATGATTAGAATTTTCCATTCAAAGAGCTATTTTGAGTGCCTGTTTTATGCCTAGAAGTTTTGGTTTGAAAGGCAGGACTGAAAACAAAAGAGTTTGGATGGGTAGCTTTTGATTCTGCTGATGTTATTATTAAATAACATTTTAAAATATAATGGGTAATTTATTAGAAGGAAGTAATCAGCTTTCTTTAGAAACATAATGAATGCTGTTGCCAATTCAACTGCACAAACACTTATTCAGGACTTATTTGCACATCATGCACAATACTAGGCACAAGCGTATAATAGTCACTGATTCACTGACTCACTCACACATTCATTTATTCATTCACTCACTCATTCATGCAACAAATATTCCCTGAGTAAATAGGCACCATGTTAAGTGGTCAGGACTTAGCAGTGACCAAGGTGGATATGGTCTCTGCTGTAATGGAATGTATACTCTACAGGGGAAACAGATATTAAACAAGACACAGCATAATTATTATTTCATTACAACTGAGATAGGCACCATAAGGGAGAACTGGGCCATATAAGAACAAAGTGTAGGAGGACTTGCTACTATCTGGTAGGAGTGGGTTGATGGTTAGGATAATTAGCCAGGTTTGCCGAATATCAATGTGTTTTTCCTCCCTGGGTCAATAGTTTTCAACAACAGCAACAGATTGTGGCACACAGCTTGGTTAAATCATCCTTGGATTCTAATAATAAGTACTAGGACATACTGGGCTCTACTGTGCCCCAAGCACTATTCTGCATGAATCCCTACATGAAACCACGCCAGAATGTGTATCACTTGGAGACTTAAAGATTGAATAAATAGGCCGGGCGCAGTGGTTCATGCCTGTAATCCCAGCAATTTGGGAGGCCGAGGCAGGTGGATCACGAGGTCAGGAAATCGAGACCATCTGGCTAACACGGTGAAACCCCATCTCTACTAAAAATACAAAAAATTAGCTGGGTGTGGTGGCGGGCGCCTGTAGTCCCAGCCACTCAAGAGGCTGAGGCGGGAGAATGGCGTGAACCCAGGAGGCGGAGCTTGCAGTGAGCCGAGATCGAGACTCTGTCTCAAAAAAAAAAAAAAAAAAAAGGAACAAAAATCAGTGCTCTTGAAATTGAATTGTAAGCTAGAATAATTATAGGAGGTATTTGTTTCCATTAAGTATCTTTGGATGCTTGACAATCTTTTAGTCTTTATCCATGAAAAATGAACTATATTTTTAATCACTCTTCCTCAATCATGTTGAAGGCAAAAAAAAAAAGGGTTTGGGTTTTTTTTTTTACTATTCTGTCCAATAGCTAAAACAAAATGTAGCTAATTAGCTTCTTTGACATGGCTGAGCAAAGAGATTAACAGTATAGTAACATTTTGGAAAGCAAGTAAAGCCACACAGTGTGAGGATACAGAGTCTAAGCTGACTAATAAAACTCTGACAACAAATTAACTCCATTTTTATGTTCCTCCCTCATTCCTTCCCCTGCCTCCCTTGCCCTGCATTACCACCACCCTTTCATTTATTTTATCCTTGGTTTTGTTAAAAATAATAAGTATTATCACAGGCTGGGCACGTGGCTCATACCTGTAATCCCATCACTTTGAGAGGCTGAGGTGAGTGGACTGGTTGACTCCAGGAGTTCAAGACCAGCCTGGGCAACACGGTGAGACCCTATCTCAACAAAAAATACAAAAATTAGCCAGGGTGGTGGTGTGTGCCTGTGGTTCCAGCTACTTGGGGGGCTGAGCCGGGAGGATCACTTGAGCCCAGGAGGTCAAGGTTGCAGTGAGCCATGATGGCACCATGGCACTCCAGCCTGGGCAACAGAGCAAGACCCTGTCTCCAAAAAAAAAAAAAAAAAAAAAAAAAAAGTATCACATATATATGCATATATATGTATTCCTAAAACTATATTGTTTGGTTTTGAATGTTTTAATATTTACACAATGAATTCATGCTGCAAGTAATCTTCTGACACTGACCTTTTTCATTCAATGGCATATTACTAAGGATCATCCATATTGTTGCCTCTAGTTCTAGTTCATATAGTTTTGATTATGTAATATTCCATCTGTGCAAATAGTCCACAGTTTCATTACTCATTCTCTTGTCAAAGAACATTTGGGTTGTTTCCAATTTTTGCTATTATGAACAGTTCCTCTAAGAACATTTTTGTACGTATCTCCTGATATGCTTGTGGCGGAGATCTTTGGGAATGGACTCAGGAACAGAATTGCTGGTCTTAAAATATGTCAATATTCAACCATATAAAATAATACCAAACTGCTTTCCAAAATGTTTGTATCAATTTTCAGTTTATATTACAGCAAGCAATATATAAATAATCTTATTGATCCTCATCTTCTTTAACACTTAGTATTACTTCTTATTTATTTATTTTTGGACAATTTAAGTTGATTTTTATAAGTTCCTGTTTATATTTTAGTTCTCATACTGTATTGTTTATTCACATGGTTTTATTATATTATTCAAAAATTAAAAATAAATTTAAAAAGTAAGAGAGGGTCATGCATTAACACCGATAAGAGAATGTCATCAACCACAGACTAAGATTAATCTGATTTTGTATATTTAAGGTTCAGAAGAGGGGTTCTGGAAGAGGTAGATAGGAAATCCTAGCCCTGATAAAGACCTCAAAGATTGCCTCTAAGGAATGTCTTAATGGGAAAGGCAGAAGATCTTAAAATTTTTCACTAATGCACTGTGCACAGCCCATTCCTCTCCTTTTCCAACTCAATTCATCTACTCAGAGATGCAGCTGATTTAAGGGTAATCATGACTAGGAATGTCTTTGAGTGCTTTGAAAGAAAGTTGATGAAAACTCATCACGCCCTTTTTTTGGTCTGATGGCAGTATCACACAAATATGTACTGTGGTGGCAATCTCTCAGGAAGGGTGTAAAAAACTCATCTGAGATTGTATTTTCTTCTAGGATACGGCATTGGCCTCCCACCCAACTCTCCATTGACCGCCAACATATCCGAGCTAATCAGTCAATACAAGTCACATGGGTTTATGGATATGCTCCATGACAAGTGGTACAGGGTGGTTCCCTGTGGCAAGAGAAGTTTTGCTGTCACGGAGGTATGGAAAGACTGTTGAAAATGGTGACACGTTGTATAGCTGTACCTCAGAGAACATAAGGAAATGCTATTACTTGTGCCTCATCATCTAGGTTATTGCATTTACTAGACTCTTGCATAATATTTGGATTATTTTTTACTTTGTCCAAAAAGCGTCCATTCCTATAGGAATTTACAGGGATGTGGGTTTGTCTTAGATTTAAATGTGATGCTATTTTGATGAGTAAATATCTAAATTTCTACTTTTCCCCATAACCTCTATCCACAAGTGCAGAAGAAATGCTGTTCTGAATTACAGCAATAGTATCTGAGATTGACATGAACAGTGTTTGATTTAATCGTTAATTGATGGACATGATGTGTACTTCAAAATATCCTGCAAAATCTAATCAAAACATTGCTAACTTACCAGTGGTTACCACCTAAAGATAAAGCCTTTGTGGATGTAGAAAAATAGACATACCTTAGCGAGTACTTCTTAGATTACAGAGTCATGGATTTTTGAAACTGAAAACAATCAATTCCCTTCTTTTATAGTTAGGAAAAGAATACCCAGAGATAATCAGTGGTTTCCCTAAGGCACACAAATAATCAGAATCTCTTTCTATTGCAGTACACTGACTTTACAATGTAATTAGAAAGAAACCTATAAAATAAGGCAGAAATTGGATGATTAAAATTGGAGACTGGAAGGTATAACCAGAGTCACAGGCTCAGATATTTAAAAGAGGAGCCAAATATACCTGAACAAGGTCAGCCTGACAATTTAAAAAAAAAACAAACCCACCTAAAGTGAATAATAATGGTTTCAAGTAGTCTCTATTTGCCAAGAACTCCCAAAGTTGTATTTCAACACAGACCCTTCTTCTGAGCTCCAGGCCATGTATCCACCTTCCTATTTGACATCTCCACTTGAATATTCTCCAGGCATCTGAAATTTAAGTTGTCAAAAGCTGAACCTTGATCTTCCCTCCTAAATCTATTTTTCCTCCTGTGCCTCACATCTTGGTAATGGCTCCTCTGGCCATCTAGTTACTCATTCTGGAAACTGGCAAGGATCCTTAATGCCTCCCACATCTCATCTTCCACATTCATCAACAAGCCATGTCTTTTCCTTCTATAAAATATGCCTCGAATATGCCCATTTATTGTCATCTCCACTGTTGTCACTCGAGTCCAAGCCATCATTCTTCACCTGGACCACTATAAAAGTCTCCTAACTAGTTCTCTGCTATCACTCCTGCCTCCTCAAATTTGTTTTCCATGTGGCAGATCATTCTTCTGCTTAGAAGCCTGCAGTGGCCTCCCATGTTAATGGGACAAAAATCTGAAACATTGGCATAGCCCACAATGCCCTGTGGGACCTGGCCCTGCCCACCTCCCAGCCTCATCCCAGCCACTTTCCTCTTGGCTTCCCTGCACAGGCTGTTGCCTCCTCTTCCTCAAATACTCCATCCTCTGACACTTGCTCAGCTGAATCCTTTATATTATAAACTTCCAGCTGAGATCTCCCTTCTTCAGACTCTGATAATCCCAGACCAATATGAATCATATCTCCCTTCATAATCTCATATATCTCACATTATGTCATAGCACTTGTCATAATTTATAAATCATACTATTTCTAAACATATACTCAATTGAGTTTTTGTTTTAGTGTGTCCCTTCATTAAACTGTGAGAGCTTGGTGAGGGACAAAGATTTTGTTTACAATTGTATTGTCAATGTCTCATATATAGCAGCACTCAGTAAGTGATTGTGGAATAAACAATTAGAGAAATTGAACAGCATACCTGAGAAAACATTGGGGAGCAGAAGGCAAAAGCATACATCGGGTGTGAAATTGGTAGTGTACTGGGACAAATAGCGTACCCCCAAAATTAATGTCTACCTAGAACTTCAGAATGTGACCTTATTTGGAAATAGGGTCTTTGAAAATGTAGTTAGTGAAGTTAAAAGGAGGCCATACTGTAGTCAAGTGGGCCCTAAATTCAATTATGGGTATCCTTATAAGGAGACCCTGTGGAGAGACATACAGGGAAAAAGTCCACGTGACAACAAAGGCAAAGACTGGAGCATGCAGCTACAAGCCAAGGAAATGCTAAAGATTGCCAGCAATCCTCAGAAGCTAGGAGAGAAGCATAAAACAGGTTGTCCCTCAGAGCCTCCAGAGGAACTAACCCTGCTGACACCTTGATTTCAGACTTTTGGCCTCCTAAGCTGTGAGGTAGTACATTTCTGGTTTTTTTGTTTGGTTGGTTGGTTTTTTTTTTTTTTTTGAGACAGACTCTCACACTGTAACCCAGGCTGGAGTGCAGTGGCATGATCTAGGCTCACTGCAAGCTCCACCTCCCAGGTTCACACCATTCTCCTGCCTCAGCCTCCCGAGTAGCTGGGACTACAGGTGCCCACTACCACACGTGGCTAATTTTTTGTGTTTTTAGTGGAGACAGGGTTTAACCATGTTAGCCAGGATGGTCTTGATCTCCTGAGTTCATGATCTGCCCGCCTCGGCCTCCCAAAGTGCTGGGATTACAGGCATGAGCCACCGCGCCTGGCTAAATTTCTGTTGTTTTAAGCCAGCCTCTTCCTCAAATACTCCATCCTCTGACACTTGCTCAGCTGAATCCTTTATATTATAAACTCCCAACTGAAATCTGTTTTTTACATTTGTTACATCAGCCCTAGGGAACTAATACAGATAGATGATAGACATCTAGATGATAAGGATAAAAATGTAGATAGATAGATGATAGATAGATAGATAGATAGATAGATAGATAGATAGATAGATAGATAGATGGATGCAAGCTGGTCAATGCCCTTGGTAATTAAATTTACTTCTGATTATCCTGGAAGCCATGACAAAAAGAAACATAGGATGGGTTGGAAATTTTTTTAATTGGAAAAAGAAGAAGTTAACCTATATTTAGTTCTAGATTCTAAAATAATTCTTTTTGAAAAATGGCATTGAGTAAGAGAGTTAGCAATGTTTACAAGATGCAAAAACATTTCTCCTCTGGATAACTTTTATATTGATCAAACATTTGAAGGAAGCATAGAGGAAAATGGGGACTTAGGGAGCTAGCATGTCTGTTTCCTACCATGTAATAGAAACTGTACCCAGAGCGTAGTTCTCACTATGACCCTGTAAGGTAGACATTTTTATCTTTATTTAGAGAGATTTGCGTGTCTTTTCCTAAAAGAAATGAACTTGGGCCTATACCAGTCAATTGAGTTAATTCAACCAAGGAAGGAAACAAACCAGTTGCCTAACCTGTGCCAAATAACAATCACTTGGTGTTTTCTATCATTTGTTGTGACCATAGCTGACTCAAGTCAACATCTTCAAGTGATTCAGAATTGACAGCAAGACAAGGCTGGGTGCAGTGGCTCATGCCTGTAATTCCAGTGCTTTGGGAGGCCAAGGCAGGCAGATCATTTGAGCCCAGGAGTTCAAGACCAGACTGGGAAATGCAGTGTGACTCTATCTTTACAAAAAAGATTTTTAATTTAAAAAATTTGAGAGCAAATCATTAAGAGAAAAGGAGCCTCCCAATCCTGTCCCCAAAGCCAGCATTACTGAATGATTTTAACCTCCCTTATCACATACAAGCCTCTAGGCTATTGTCATTTCAGAGGATCATCTGACCAAGACTTCAGCTGAAGGGACCATATGATTCCTAGGTGGAGGAGGACCTAAGGACAGACAGCTCTGCGGACTCAGAACCTAACTCTACCTGGACACACAGAAGCGAACACACTATTGGAGACTTACCAACACAATTATTAACATAAACCTATGTCAAATTTATTCCAAAGTAAAAGTAACTAACCTAAAACAAGATACATTTGAAGCCATACATTTCTGGATTTGAATCCTGTCTCTACTATTAACAGCTGAATTACTTAACTGCTCTTACGTCTGAGTCTCCTCATCTATGAATGGGTATGATAAAACCTGCCATCCCATTTTGTTCTAAGAATAAGAGGTCATTTATGGAAGCACAGCATGGTGAATAGTAAATAATAGAAGTACTAATTCTTCCTCTGCCTACATTAGGATATCTTCAGGTGTCTTTCTATGGCTCTTTTCAAAGTAAAGAAATATTACCAGAAACCCTCCATTAGATTTCCTCATATTTCATTGGCCAAAATTATATCTTCTGCCTATGTCTAAGCCTATCATTGGTGAGGGAATGGGTTCACCATGATGGATTAGGCCAATCATGATTCATTCCCCAGCATTGGCAATTGCACAGCCTCCCTTGAAACACAGGGTCAAATCACGAAGCGTGAAGGCCTAAACAAAAGCAGGGTTCCCTTAGGAAGGGGGAGACAGAAGAATACATGTTGAATAAGAATCCAACCACTTCTACTCTCACTCTGCAGACTTTGAAAGCTGCTTCTTCTCTCATCCCACCTACCACTAGCCATCTGCACAATGAGGTATTTTGATTTAATCGTCTGCAAAGCAAGTCCTCCCAGCTTTGATACAGTGATTCTGGCTTCCCTTAATATTATCCTAAAATATGAATATTCAGTATTCTATACAATATAGTATGATGGCTAGAAACATGGACTTTGAAGACAGTTCTATATTTGAATCCCAGCTCTACCAGCTGTGATACCAGGACATATTATTTGAGCATTTTGAGGCTCAGCTTCTACAAACTGGGGAGATAGTCATATATACTTTATAGGATTGTGGTAAAAATGAAGTTCGATAGTGCTTTTCAAATATTGAGCATATTCCTACATATGATAACCACACAGTTACCCATGTTCTTAAGGATTATGAAGTTTCACCATATATGTTACAGGGCTATATGGATTTATCAGCAATTTCAAACAAAATCAAGTATAGACCAAAAAAAAAGATGTTTTGAAAAACAAGTGAAAGCCATAAACTGTTGAGATGATGCATCTAAAATACAGCAAAATTTTTTCCATTGCAGTTTTTAACAGGCCAAATTCAGGGGAACGGCAGTTGGGAAATTCTAGATGTAGTCAGCTGGAAGCATTGAATAAAAGGCTAATATCAGGATCAAGTTGTGCTTGTCCAGGCAATGTTGGGCCCACATTCCAGGTCAGCTAAATTTGAAAGAGAACTAGGAATGAGAAGAAGGGAGGAAAGTTGTGTCCTTACTGGAACTCCAGGGACAGAAATAACAGAGTTCTGGTAACATCAGTGTGTGTAGAGATAGGAGGGCCACACACACACAGAGCTCTTCTTTCTCAGGGATGGTGGTCGGCTGTATGGTGTATCCTGGTCTATGGAACAGGAAACTATTTTGTAATGATGCTTACCTGGGTACATTTAAACAGCAATGCATATTCTTGTGTGACATTTTTGTTTTGAACAACCTAAGACAGAATTTCAGGATTGTCCTCACAGAACCTAAAGATAGAACGTAATTAAATGAAACCAATCTTCAGTTCATTGACTGAGCTTGGTCTTCTCTGCGCAAACAGCCTCTGCCTGCTGGATTTCCCATTGCTCAATACACTAAGTCTCAAACGGCTATTTTTTTCTTAACTTTCTCCCAGAAAAGGTCAGAAGGAGAAAGCGTAATTATTAATGCTTCGCTTGCCATCCCTTTTGCTTCAAATGTCATACACTGCCGGGCTCTGTTAGTGTGGGGAACCAGGATTAGCTTTGAAATCAGACAAGCCATCCTTGAAGCCTACTTCAACCACCAACTTACTTTTGGCGAGTGCCTTAATCCAGCTCAGCTTTAGCTTCTTCATCTCATCAGTGGCTCTTGTGTGAAGTAAATAAAATGATGGTCTCATACACACGGCCCTCCTCCTTCTCCCTGCTCACGGGGTGGAGTGCAAGGCACAGTGTGGAAGAACCGGGTATATACTCCGGATGGTTCCCCTCCCAACAGGTGCCCCTGACACCTGAGGATTCCATTTTTCGGTTTACTTTTTACCTTACATACCATTTTGCTAGTTACAGTTCCTGTGTAAGTCTGTTGCTATAGAGCAATTAAACACTCTCTTTCACTCTGAAAAAAATTCTAGTTTAGACAACAAATTATATGGTGACCTAGTAATAGAATTACTAGGTGCCTTTTTCCCCCATTTCTAGCAGTTGGACATTAATACTTGGCCCAATGTGAGAACCTTGACCTATTCACCTTCCATCTCTTTGTAGCCCCAGAGCTATCTAGCCACAGTTTCTCTGGAAGATAAACTCACTTTTTTTTTTTTCCTGAATTCCAGGGCTTTATCTGCTCTCCAGAGTCACTTAGGAAATTGCAGGTCCAATTCTGCCGACCAGACTCTGGCAATTTTCAAAGAGGAATTTTAAATTGACCTCAGATGTTTCCCCACATTCCTCCCTGCACACCTGTGCCTCTGCCCACAGTGAACTCATTGTCAATCAGTGCCATTAGGGAAACAGGGTATAAATTTCCTTTGTTTTCTTTTGACTCAGCAAAAAAAAAAAAAAAAAAAAAAAATGTAATTTTTTTCAACTCCCCAAGTGAATTTAAGAGCTCCAGAGCAAGAGTTTTGTGACATCGGTTATTTGCAAACCAGGAAAGCAAGGCAGCCGACCACAGTTTAGCAACCTCTAAAATTCTTCAAGGGATTACTAAAATATCCAGATGATAACTTCTTTCTTTTTGCAAGCCTCCTTTAAATGATAGTTTGAATAATGCACTTTTTACCAAATGGAACTAGTCAGGAAGAAAGAGGAAACAGTGGTCTTGGTGGGGAGCAGATAGAACACTCCAATGATCAAAGGAGAATTTTAAAGAAACTGTTTGCAAAAGTATGATTTAAGGAAACCAGTTAAGATACTACAGTCTCCCAGGGCAGGTGAAGTGAGGGAGCCATTACCACATCTAGGTTCAAAGGGAAGAATTAAGAGACCTATTTTTAGAACCCAGGGAGAAATAGGAGAGGGCTTTCTAAGAGCCTTGGCCATTTGACCAGGGGTACAGCCATCCGACAGTGACCTGCCTGGAAGACACCCAGGGAATAAATACCTGAGTTTGGTCTCCTCCTACCCTTGCATCTTCTACCTCAGGTCCAGGGAGCCTGTCGATATGGTGCAGAGAGGTCCGCTTCCCAGGGCACAAAGCAGGAGGAAGAAAGATGGAGAGTCGATCTGGAAGGGCAGAAGAATGTCCAGCACTGTCCCTCATGGCAGATGAATGTGGGATGGGGTCAGCCACAGAAAAGTGGCCGCAACCCAACTGTCTGAGAGTGTGCAGCCTCTGCACTTCCAGACAGGGGTCCAGCCTGCGGGGAGAGAGACCATGCCCTTGCACTTGTTGGGAAGGAGAGAGAAGTACAATCAAGTCCACTTAAATGACCCTGGTCTTGGGAGTCAGACCACCCTGGCTCTCCCATCACTAGGAGGAGGCAGTTCTATGTCCTTGAGAAAATTACCTAACCTCTCTGAGCCTCAGTTTAATGCGTATCTTACTTGATTGTTACAAGATTTTCTTGCTGAATCCAGGGATCTCCTCCGTTGTTATTGAGTACTGAGGGAAACACATACTAAGCAAGAAACCAAACATTAGAGTGAAAGCTCTAACCTTGGAACCCAGAGACCTTGATTGCATGGGATAGGGAAAAGGAGAAGCATATTTTGAAACAGTCCAAAAGTAAATCATTAAACTCTCCAGTGATTTTATTATCAGGGGAAGTGCGCAGCAGGAAACAGTACCCCATATCTGAACTTTCCCCATCTTTTGCTTCACCCTATTCCTGAAACCACCAGCCTCCATCTGACCTTCAGTCCATTCTTGACCTTTCCTATCCTCCCCCAGCCTTTACCTTCACCCACTAAAAGATGGATCCATAGGGCACGGATGGAGTGAAGATGTCTATTAACCTCGTTATGAGGTAGTTTCAAAAATGGAAGTTTAAATGGTTGTTTTTAAGGAGCATGGTATAGGTGCAAAAGTAAAAGTAACCATGGTATCAAAACATCCACATCAAAATGTCATGAACACAAATTGCTTAACCTCCCTGACTTCCCTACACTGCAAAACTGAGATATTTTATGTTTCTGGCTTGGTATAAAGAATAGAGATCACATACATCAAAGTGCTGACACACAGTAGGTGCTGAATGGATAGTGTTAATCATATTTGTCCTGACACTGCTGCGAACCAGTTCCATGACCTTTGACAAATCACTTCACTTCTGTAAACTTGTTTCTTTGCCTTAAAATAAAGGACCATGTACCATGGCCAGCAAAGAGATGCTGTGATTCTCAAGTAGGATTGTTTAAGAGGATTCCTGGCCTAACTAATTGAAGATATGGGTCCCGGGGCACAGAGGAGGACAGTGGACTGACTGGCCTCCAGCCTGGGCTCCCCATCCCTGGCCAGGGACCCAGACTTGATTCCCAAGGACCACCAAAATGCATATATGATATATTAATATGTGTTTACCTATTAATATTTATTGAGAAAATGGAGTTCTCTCACAGCAGATCCATTCTTTCCTCTGTTAACTTCTTGGAAAGGGAAAGGGAAGGGTTAGTCAACTATACATTGAAAGCCAAAGGGAATCCCACAAGTCACATTGAGAAGCTTCAATGCCAGTCAGTTTTTTCTGACCAGTTTATCTTTAATTCATATTAAAAACTCAAAGGGAATGGTTAGGGCAGTGGGGGAGGGCAGTTTTAATGCAGTATTTTCTGCTCTTGACAGCTAGCCCACATCCCAACACCCTCCTGCCCCTTTCTCATTCCTACCCCTTCTCTTTTCCATTTAAAATGTCACTGTCTGCTCTTCAACCTGATGAAAGTTATGGGGAGGCAAGGAGAGTTAATGACTGTAGATTGCTTTAAATTGAAAACTCGTGTATATCAAGAGCCACCTTGACAGCTGAGTGCTTTCCTTAGAATAGCCTAAGTAATTAAGTTTAATATTTAAGCCAAGCATAAGATCAGATGGAACCTATCCAGGTAGTATGTTCTGAAAACCCGAAGAAGCACAAAGTTGTCCATGTATTCTTTTATGACATGGAGTAAAATTAGGCCTGAAGAAAGGGAAGCCAGTCTGAGAAAGACCTCATCTTCATCTGTCTTGCTACAAGAACAATTTCCAAATTCATTCGTTCTTTCTTTTGCTTCCTTTCTTCCTGTCTTTCTTTCCCTTTTCTTCCTTGTCTTTCTTTTCCTTCCTTTCCTTCATTCCTTCCCTTTCTTTCTCTCTTTCTCCCTCCTTCCCTTCCTTCCTTTTCTTTCTCTTCCTTTCTCCCATCCATCCATTAGCAAACGTGTTGAATTCCCACGTACCATGTCCCATGCTGGGTGCAGCCAATGCAGAGATGAATACAGAGCTCACAGGCAGAGAGCTCATAGGAGCTCAAGAGAGACTTGTGAAAAATACCCAATTCCACACCGCCACAGGGGCAGCAATAAATGAAGACATAAGGTAAGCCGTGACACAAACAAGGCCATAATTCACACATGGAAGAGCTAGAAGGAATCAAAGCAGGCTTCCTGGAGGAGGTAACCCCTGTAGCGGAAGAAGCCTCCAGGCAAAACCAGAGTAAAACACTGAGGCGTGAAATTGTAAGCAATGCAATTTGGCCTTGCCCTTCGAAGACACTGCACCCAATCATACTGGATTGACAGAATTGTATGCCCTGTTAATAGGGCCCCTTCCCGAGGGATTCTAAAATTACAGGTGGCTGCTTTCTTTGGCCCGCTTGTTATCCAGTCACAGGTAAACCCACAAGTAAATTATAGGCCTTTACTTTTCCTGTGCTCGGGCTTGTAGCTTCCCTACCACCTCCTCAAAGGCAGGGACATCTTTTCTAGTCTTATATGGAAGGCAGTCTAGAATACAGAAGAATTTCAGCTCTGGGAGCAACATACCAGGATTTGACTCCCAGCTCCACCACTGTGTGTCTACGCAAGCTGTGCAACTTCCAAAACTTCAGATCTTCCTCCAAACCCGGGAATAATAATAGGGCCTGACTGAAAGTGTGAAATATATTTAATGAGATCGTTTATGGCGAACACCTGGCTTGACAAATGTTCTCTCCTTCCCTGATTATAGAACCATGCACGCAGAAAAAATACATATATTTGGTGAATAATAAGCATAGACAAGAAATTACAGTTGGTGCACCCACCCTCTTAGGCCCATCTTGGTCCCATCTCGAAAAAAGCAGGAGCATCTTATCATTACAAGCATCTTCTAACTCCGAGATAAACACTCTTTTATGTATTGCTTACGTATGTTATAGAACCAAATAATTTTTTATTTCAAAATGAGAAATGCATGATTCTGGAATTTTCTACTTTTCAAATTGCTGGTTTAACTAACTTTTGTAGTGTTGTGTTCTTTCTTTCCTCTAGCTCAGTGTCTGAGTGGGAAAAAGTGAAGATGCTTTATACAAACCATTAGACTGCACTTAAAACAGATCTTTACGGAAACAATGGTAACTTGGTCTTTGCATGTAGTCAATTGTATTTCGAAGTTAGGCTCCTGTGTGAACAGGCCCAAGACCTACAATTCTCTGGTCTTGTTTTCCCCTCCCTCCGTATCATCACAAGATTAGGGCTGCTTCTCTGTTGCTTTCTGGCTACTATAAATAACACAAATTAGGATTCTGAGAGAAGGAAAACTAATTTCAGCAAGTGTCTCCTTCACCCTTGCTAACGACCAAGTAAACAGACCTCTCGGAATAAGAGTCCCCGCTTTTATATGCCAGAGATACTTGGGCATAAATTACACCCAAGACCACATACTGTTAAGAGTTCTTGCTTTTCCCCTGGTTAAATTCGGCAAACTCATGAATATTTATGAAATGCTATTTACTATGCAACTAAAAGGTATGAACGGTGCTAAAACTGATTAGGACTATTGTGAGAGACAGTCTTCCTTCCATTTTTTTAGACTTCCATGCACTAAAGTCTGTGGGGGATCACAGGAAATGGGACTCCTCACTCACCTCTATTCCCTGTGCAGAGAGGAGTTGCCTCCAGGCTTTGAGGATTCGGGTTTGAAGAAAGCGGAGAAAGCATGGAAATGTGTGAAGATTGCCATCTAGTGGCTATTGATGCGAGTTGTTACAAAATACTGCAAAAGCCATCTTTTTTCTTTCTCACAAAAGGCAAAAACCAAGTCTAAAATTGTGAGAAATTGCCCTGACATTTCCTCCAGGGTATCTGAGGACAATTCCTCCCCATGCGGCTGTGGGAGTTGGTAGAATTTCAGGACGTGTTGGATGAGAAGGCAACATCATGAGAGAGCCCTGGAGCCTTTATAGAGATGCCCCTCTTCTCACACAGTATAGGTGGCTTCCTGCAACATGAAAGCTTAGGGCTAGCTGGCCAGGGAAGCCAATGCACGCACATCTGGGGCCTCCTCTGAGCTCCTTCCCTCTGTCCTTCTGTCCAATAAGACTTCAGCCTAGGTGTTATGGGTTGGATTGTGTCCCCCAAAAAAGATATTGAGGTTCTGAGGTCCTAATTCTCAATACCTCAGAATGTGTTCTGGTTTGGAAATAGGGTCATTGCAGACATGTTTGGTTGAGCTGAGATGCAGTCATATTGCAGCAAGAGTGAACCCCGAATCCAGTATGACTGGCATCCTTGTCAGAAGCCATCTATCACACAAAGACAGACACTCAGGGAGAGCACCATGTGATGATGAAGGCAGAGAATGGATTTATGCATCTGCAAGTCAGGAAGGCCAAAGATGACCACAAACCACCAGGAGCTAGGAAGAGGCAAGCAAGGGTTGCCCTACAGGTTTCAAAGGGAGCATGACCCTGCCAACTCCTTGATTTCAGACTTCTAGCCTCCCGAACTAGGGGACAATAAATGTCTGTTGTTTAAGCCACCCCGTTTGTGCTGCTTCATTACAACAGCTCTTGCAAAATAATTAATACACTCCACATTTTACTTCTAGTGCCTCTTGCATCCCAGCTCAGGCTCTTCTAGACAAGCATTTGTAGATGTCATTGTTTCCTAGCTGCTCTCCCAGATACTGGTCTCTTGTCCTATTCAATCTACCCATAATGCCAGATTAATCTCTCCAAAATATAATTGTGATTAAGTTGTTCTTTTGATAAAACGTGTGCTTTCCCTACTGGGTAGAGACTAAATGTCTTAGCCAAACATTCAAAACCCTGCTTCATCTGGTTCTGTCTAGCTCATCTTCTGCTACTTTGCTCAAGTACTTCAGCCATTATAAGCAACTTGCTAATATCTACACCTGTACTCTTTCCCACTTCTGTGATTATGGTACTTGTTCCCTTTTCTCCCTCAGGATCAAATACTTCTTGAAGAAAGAAAAAAGTCTTCCTCTATTGTTCCCAGCAAGAAGTAATTTCTCAATTCTCTGAGTTCTTATAGTTCTTTTCCCTTACCTCTCTGATGACATGTTTTGTTGTCCATCTTGTATTATTAATTATAATTCTTTAATGCCTCAATTCACTCACTGATCAGCAAGCTTTCTGAGCAAAGACCATCTCTGAATGTCCCAATGCTTTACATGTTAAAACATGATTGAATAAATGATGCCCTATAAAGAATAATTGAGTAAATGTTGTCTTTTCTTCAGTGTATGGGGAATGGTCAAACCATCTTATCACTTCGTCCAATACCATGCTCTCCCTTGACCTCCCTACTCCGGTATGCTCCATATGCTCTCCCTTGACCTCCCTACTCCAGTCACACTGGCATTCTTTCAGTTCCTCCTACTTGTTTTGTTCCTCCTGCCCTAGGGCCTCTTTGCACATGGAGTTTCTTCTACCTGGAACACTCATTCCTTCCCAGAACATCTAGTTAACTTCTTCTGCTTCTTGAGATTGTAAATCAGTCATCATTTCCCCAGTAAAAGTTTTCTGTTGTCCAAACTCTCCTGGTACCATGTACTTCTCATCTGTAACACTCAAGGCAGGTGCTCCTTTACATCTATGGACATGATAATTTGGTTAATGTCCATCTTCCCATCAAAACTGTAAGCTCCAGGAGAACAGGGACAACAAGAAAAGTATCCACTTTAGGTCAGTATTATATTCTTCTCACATAGTAGATCCTCAATAATTATTTGTTGAGAAAACAAATAAATAGCTGAGTATATCTGTGTGCATGTATGCATACAGTCTACTTGAGTTTTTAAGCAAGCCTAAAGTAGGCAATAATTATAATCTCTACCATTCCTGTACCTACTATGTGATAGGCATTGAGCACCCTTCTTCTTATAATCTATCTCATTTAATCCTGAAAGTGATGTTATGAGTTAGTAATCATCATCCTTGTTTTACAGATGAGTGAAAAGATTCAGATAAGTAACTCTGCCCAAGGTCACAAAGTTGTTAAATAGCAAAACTTTGATTTAAAACCATACATGCCAAAATTCATTAAACACCATTTCAGTATTACAAAAGAAAACCAAACAGATGACAAACCTGATGCTCAAAAACAGTTTAAACTCGAGCTAGTAGTTCCACAGTCTAAACTGTGGCTAACGTCAGTACGCTTAGATATTAAATATGGTGACCGGCAATGCTACAGAAAGGTGAGAGCTTCCAACCAAATGTCAAGGACCACCTGTATAGCTTCTAGAACAGCTGTGTGACCTGGTCTCCTGACTGGCTTGAAAAATGAAGCCTTATATGAACCTCAGGTCTCATTTCCATTTCCGTTGGTTTGATTTTCCAATGTCAGTTATTTTTACATGTGACCTACTCAATATTTCTTTATCTAAAAACTTTTGAGGGAAAAAAATGACATGCTGAAATAGAGGTGCCATCAAGGCTCCTGGTTTCTTCCAAAACAGTTAGTCAACCCTTTTAATTTACTTGCTTCAGTGAATGTCCTACAGTCCACATCAATCCACAGTGATGAACAGAAAAGTAACAAACAGTGTTTTCCATGGAAATTACTAAGAATCATTTACAGAGAAAATCAAAACAATGGTGTTGAGTCCCATAATAATGCTGAGCTACATAGTTTATGAAAGGTAGAACAATGGGAACTCAAGTTCACATTGACTAAAACTCCAGATCTAGCATAATGTTACCTCCTCTACAGCACAGAGTAGAATGGTTCTGCTTGTACACCTGAATTATTTCAGTGAAGTGGTACCATCTTCCTAATACTGTCTGTGTAACCATTCAATATTCCTGTGACAAGATTTCACCTCTTACATAACATTTCTATATACGCTACCTCATCTGACTCTTACAATAACACATCGGTAGATGAAGCATGTGTAGGTATTATCACCATTTCACAGATGAGGATGTTGAGGCTGGTACAGCAATGGCTTCACTCAAAGGCTCACAGCTAATAAGGTAAAGAGCTGAGGCTGGAACCAACTATTTACCTCCTATGCTCTCTCCATTACCCTTTCCTACCTCCTAACCACACACTCACATAGGGAAATACAGCTAAGAGTTTTCACACTGGGAGCTCCTTTCTAAATGACTATCAAGGAATTACTCAGGAGAATGTAAGTGAGGAATCCATAAGAGTGCCTGATGGGCCAGTGATGTTGGTTACTGCATTTCTCAAGTCTGCAATGGAAGGTCTGTAATCAGTCCTCAAAGAGTTTTGAACTGGAGGAGCCAATTTTTATGCTGGTATAGCGTGTGAGCAGCCTGTGGCATACTGTAACCACTACATGAGGAGTGTTGTTAAATGGCTATATGTACACTTAGGTGTCCAGGGCAGGCTGGTATCCTTTAAGACTTCATCTCTACTAGTAGGGTAAGTAACAATAAAATTAGTAATAATAGCAATGATGATAATGACATTATATTGACTAACATTAGCTTTAATACTCACAAAAATGTACAAAATATATATTATTAGCCCCATTTTTCATATGGGAAAACTAATGTCAAGCAACTTGTCCAAGGTCTTACTGCTACTAAGTGGACTGTTAAGATTTGATGTTGGGTTGTCCCATTTTAAATCCTTTCTACCTTATAATATAATACCTAATTAATAATACCTCTTTTTAACCTAATTAATTCAATTGGGATAATAATTCAACCATCAAATATTTTAGCCTCCATATCTTTCCTTTTCCATTAAACTGTCTAGCTCTGTGCTGTCCACTATGATGGCCACATGTAGTTACTGAGCACTGGGAATGTTATGAGCTCTAATTGACATGTGCTGTAAATATAAAATACAGTACAAAAAGTGTAAAACAACTCATTCATAAATGATAATATTGGTTACATGTTGAAACGGTAACACTTTGGATATATTGGGTTAATATAAATATATTATTAAAATTCACTTCTTTGCTTTTTAATGTTACTAAAAATTTAAAAGTACATATATAATTAGACAGCACTGCTATAGATTATTATTCCAAGATTCATCTACTTTATCCCCACATACTGATCTCACAGAGAACCAACCAGTATGAAAATGTTTTTGCTGTTGAATTATTCTCATGGCTCATGAGCCTATAACATAAGATATCAAAACACTATGTTCTATAGTATATGTCAGACTGTCTTTATTTTTTACCATAATCCAAGCAAGAAAATATGTCATATTGCAAACCCAGAATGACCTGGTATTCCTTTATCATATATATACTATATTTAGTTTTACAACTTTATGAAGTAAACTTTTTACAACTTTATAAACAACTTTATGAAGTAATAGTACTTCCCCTTACAGATGATACTTTCTCTTCAATTATCTGCTGTTCTATTTTTTTGATGTTGTTTGTAACTCACTAAACCAACTTCATCACTCACTAATGTGTTGTAACCCACAGTTTGTAAACACAAGAGTGTCTGCAAGTGAGATACCAATTCTATCTACACAGAGGTGAAGGGATATTTTAGCAAATAATAAGATGGACCTGGCACTAATGAATGAGCTAGTGGAGGCCTGTAACTATAGCAGGATCTGTGGCCTATTCAGTTGGCAAAACTGAAGGGAGTTCAAAATGCTTCCTCTCTCCTATAGAGTCAGCACTAATGGACCTGTCTAATGTCCATCTGTTGTTCTGTCTGCTCAGCATTACCCTGTTCTTATAAGGAAGAGCATGTGCTTCTTTTGGTACCTGCTCTTCCTACCCAGCCCCCACTTCCCCCCGACCAGCTCCATCCATGAGGTTCAAATGGAAGCTCCCATATGTTATAAGCCATGTCTGATGGCTCATAGGTGGGAACCCAACCCAAGTGAGACCAATCAGAGCCTGTTCATGGGATTTATGGGCATCTAACTAGAACAGGGAAAAGTCCGTCTTTTCTGATGATAAAATCCCCAAAGTCTTAACTTGGAATCTGTCAGTGGTTGTGTCCTCTGCAATGTGGAAGAATTGCTTTACCATAGGAGAGAGTGAAGGAAAGAGAAGCAGAGGTGAAAGGCACAGAGAGGTCAATGGGCCCAACTCCTTGCAGGGCCAGCTTCATGGGCATGTGGCCCACGCAGTCTCATAAGGTCCCGTACTTGGTTTAATGTTCTGCTGTGGCCATCTTGAAGCTCTCAATCATTTTCAAACAAAGGACACTGCAAATTACATAACTGGTCCTGAGGCGTTGGTTCCAATATTTCCTTAAACCCAGTGGGATCCTCACCCTTCCTAAGACTGAATCATTCAGCTCTTCTTTAGATTATGTGAGATTCTTCCAACAAATTATCTTTCATGTTAAGCTTCTTAGAGGTAGATTCTTTTACTTGCAGCCAAGAAACTGGACTACACTGTGGTCAAAGACACAAGATGAGAGAAATAACACAATTCTAGAGGCTCCCAGCCCCAGTGCATGCCCAAAAGATAGAGTTCTGTCCTTGCCCCTGAGGTTTCTGATTTTTTCAGAACTGCACCTGCAGGGCCTGGATATTTCCCCCAGAGAGTCCAGAAAGGTCTTTGTGCTTTAGAAAGAACACAGGCTATAGTGGTTGGTATCATTTAGAGACCAACACTGATTTTAGGCATCTTGTAATATAATTTAAGGTGGTATCCTTAATATTGCAAATTCAATAGGCTTATATGCAAACTGTACCATGCTCATTTCTCTGAATAACTGAAAAGCAAGCAAATAAATGAAACAAAAAAACATTCCAATATAACAGTCTAATTGGGAAAGGGGGTTTCATTTGTGTAATGCCCATAATCAGCTTTAAAACATATCCATGGATTATCATTTGTTTATAGAGGAAAGTAAAATGGCCAGACTTAATGATAAGGTGATCAGTGGCTTAGTTTTGCTAGTTCCAGCATGGTTATCTTTAGACTGATATTTTGGCTGAACTATAGAACACAGAACTTGCCAACATTTTTTAAAGCGAAGGAGTGTTTGCATCTTTCAGTTTGATGTAGTGGCCTGAGGTTCCCCCAAGTCCCTTTGAACTGTTTGCTCTTGAACCACATTTGTTTCTTATGCATTTGGAGTAATTGATGCGCTCCGAAAGGAAGAAGGAATAAGAGGGAGCATGTGAGATTAGTCTTCAACAGAAAGAACAAATCTAGTTGAAACAAAAGGAGAAAAGTGAGATCATCCAGAGGCGACTGTCACTCTCAACACACACAAAAGGCTTCTTTGGGCACATTGCAGACCTTCCCCCAAGGTATTCTGCAGAATAGCCGCCAGGCACCAACAACAAAGATGTGACTCGGGCATGAGATGATGGATAAGAGGGAACAGAGTAACAGAGGTTGTGTTCTTGAGACCTGTGTCATCTTGAAAAACGCCCTGAATTCAGCATTGTTTATATTCCTCGGGAATATGTTAGTGCCTGTAGGTGATCCATGTAAGAAATTCTGCGCGGTATCTGCCTGGTCTCTTACAAACACTCTGAATCCTACGTCCTGAAAAAGGTACAGAAGGATGTCAATCCCGGCTTCCCCTCCCAGGGAATCGTGGAAAACATACTATATCAATGCCTTGATGTGTCACCTTGTTTCATCCTTACACTAGGTCTGTAAAGCAAGTATACAGTGTCCTTGGTTGCAGTTCAGTCATTCGGCGTATATTTATTAAGCACATATTGCCTGTGAAGCACTGTGCTTCTGGGATACTGCAGCGAATAACACAGGTGCGATCCCTTCTCCTTTGGGGTTTACTTTCTCAGAGAAAAAAAAAAAAGAAATAAGTAGATAAAATAATTGCCAGGGAAATTGGGGTTATCATGGAAAGGTACAAGGAGTTTGAGAGAAGGAAAAAGAGAAGGGGCAGCCCAGCTTTCCACCTCTGCCTCTCCCGGGCACCCCCAGGCTCCATTCTCTCCTCCCTATACTCCTGCCCAGACAGCACCCACCTCCCCTTCCGCCCCCTTTTCCCTCCTTCTTTCCCTCCTCTCTCCGCTCCCTCTCTGACCTGCCGCCCCTCCCTCCGCTCCCCTGCCCTTTTGCTCGACCAGGGCCCCCGGGAGCCCTCTACCCCCACCCCATGGCCCAACCGTCCGGGCACGAGCCCCGCCCGAGCTCACCGCCCCTGCTCCCCTCTCCGACCCTTTGAGCCGTGGCCGTTGCCAGATGTCCACAATGGGAAACGAGGCCAGTTACCCGGCGGAGATGTGCTCCCACTTTGACAATGATGAAATTAAAAGGCTGGGCAGGAGGTTTAAGAAGTTGGACTTGGACAAATCAGGGTCTCTGAGCGTGGAGGAGTTCATGTCCCTGCCGGAGCTGCGCCACAACCCGTTGGTGCGGCGAGTGATCGACGTCTTCGACACCGACGGTGATGGAGAAGTGGACTTCAAGGAATTCATCCTGGGGACCTCCCAGTTCAGCGTCAAGGGCGACGAGGAGCAGAAGTTGAGGTTTGCGTTCAGCATTTACGACATGGATAAAGATGGCTACATTTCCAACGGGGAGCTCTTCCAGGTGCTGAAGATGATGGTGGGCAACAACCTGACGGACTGGCAGCTCCAGCAGCTGGTCGACAAAACCATCATCATCCTGGACAAGGATGGCGATGGGAAGATATCCTTTGAGGAATTCAGTGCTGTGGTCAGAGACCTGGAGATCCACAAGAAGCTGGTCCTCATCGTATGAGCCTTTTTCTTACAAGCACCACCCAACAACTTCTGCTTTCTTCCCTATCTCTTTCAAGATTTGCTCAAGACGTCCAACTGTCTCTCTGACTTATCTGGAAGTATTTCTTTTTGTGAAGCCATATGTCCTAACAGGAGCTTCATCACCAACTCAGTGCTATTAATTCTCCTTCTCTGAATGACTCAGGGTACCCTATAGGGGGAAGAGCAAGTCAAATGAGCATAGTGGGGAAAGAAAAGGAAATGGCTTTTATAAACATCTTTTACTTTGTTTTGATTCAAAGACCAAACTAGAACTTTAAAAGTTCAAAAATAAGAAAGTATACATTTTTGCTGTTATTTCTCATCATTTTGTATATGGGAGGAAATTTATAATTTGCATGGGTGTTAGGTGAACTGTTTTCATTTGCTTGTGTTCAGATATCTTGCCAGATTGTTAACTTCCTATTGTAGCAACAGGGACAAATATATTTGTCTTTGCTGGGCATCTCGTAATCACTTTTCTTAGGGGACAGAATCCCATCTTTTCCTTCGGCAGATTGCAGCCCCATTCCCCACAATGCATCCAGAAATCGCTGTGCATGTTTGAGGGGTAGGAGTTCATTTGGCCTCCTCCTGACTTGTTGCTCCAGCTCCTGAACAGAAACTAGCTTCAGGGCTCTTATAGGAAATGCTAAGCCTGGACTAAGTGCCCAGCTCAGCCATCATCCTCATTAGCAGTGGGTTTCCAGGGTTGGCAGCCCACACCAGCATTAATTTCAATGAAGGGGACCTCCAGCTAAATAGGGCAAGCAAAGTGTTCTCCCAGAAAGTGCTCTCACCTCCGACACTGGTCCCTACCCCCAGGTGGAGACAATGAGACATTTAGTTAGTTGTCCTACGGAGGAGAGGCAGTAGAGTCAGGCTGCAGTGGAATCTCCCTAGGATGCCAAAGTGGCATTATGTCTGTTGCTCACAGATGCAGAGACTGACAATTGTGTCTCCACAGCAGAGGTGGATGCTAGCTACACCAGCTATGCTGATTTTGAAAATCAGATCTGAGGCCTAGAAGAGAAACTGAGAGCTCTCTCATTCCAGGAAGCCTTTTCCCTAGTGGAACATTCAGTGCAGAAGTCCTCACACACTAACAGATCTCCACCATTGGGTGAGCCGGAGCCTGTGGTTCCAGGGGAGATCCAGAATGCATGTGTCTCTTCCCACGCATTTATGTCATGTTGGTAGCTTTAGATCAGCCATGGTGAGAAAAGAACAAAAGCTTTTAGTTGTTTTTGTTTTGTTTTGGAGAATTTGTTTACCAGTAAATACATCACTGCCTGTACCCCAAATGTTACCAGCTCCCTGAGGTGTCCCACATACTATTGTGAGTTCTCAGAGCATGAACTGTCCTCAGAAGAGCAGGGCTAGGACTTGTCCCAGCATCTGTGCCTCCATACCAATCCTCTTTCTCACAGAGAACCACTTCCCATATAAGATGCTTAAGGCTCTCAAAACAGCAGAACAATGAAACATACTCTCCCTACACTTGCTTAGCCAAGAGATACCACTCAGGTAACTTTTTTCAGGACATGGAAGATCTGTTTCAAGGAGATTTACTGCTATTTTATTTGGAAGAAGCTGGCAACTGGTCTTGACCAAAATAGAAAAAAAAAAAAAAAGTCCACAAATTTAATCACTTGTAGGGAACCCATCTATCAAGGTACCCTACCATATACTTTTGTATTTAATAGATTACTTAGAAACCACAAAAATAGGAATCCTTACCCCTTCAATTCCTGTTCAACCCTAAAAACTGTGATAAACGCTCCCAACCCTGTGGTGATCAGGGTTATGTAATGTTCAAAGATTCAGACACACCTGGGTTTGGATTCAGTTGCAACTGGGTTGTTATCACACTCACTTCTTTTTAGCTGTGTGAGCATGAATAATTTACTTAGCCTCTCTGTGTCTTTCCACCTAATTAAAGAGGATCCACCCCAGGGTTATTTTGAGGATTCAAAAAGGCATGCAACACACCTGGAGCACAATTCCACTTTCATTCAACTAATTCCCTTCCCTTCCCCCTTCTTCCCCTTCTACAAGATCAATATGTAAAGGAGACATGAGGCTTACTGGTTGCTTTTGAACACTTACTTAGTTCTTAGCTACACCCACTCTAAAATTAACTGGACATTAGTGTACAGCCCATGTCCAAGCCCAGAGAGAAAACAATGGGAACAATTTCAAGGTCCTCACCACTCCTTCATTTGCAGAGGGGACAACAGACTTTCTGACCTGAGAACTGGAGAATTTTTAAAACAAAATCTCTCATTCCAGCCCAACCTATTTAACTTTTTGTGGAGGAATTTTACATGGAGGAAGTGAGCACATGTCATGCTAGCCAAGAGGACATTATTGTCATTAAAGAGAGGCATTATTTATACACCCTGCAATGTGCACATTAAAATATGGAAATTTTAAAATTATGACCAAGGGCTTGAAACATATTGGATTACATGCTCACATTTAACAAAGAGAGGAAATGTGTTTCAGTTTCTGGAGTGGCTGGAATTTACAAGCTAATTGTTCAATAAATCTACTCAAGATAGTTACCTAAGGCTTTGTGGCAATGACCTTGAACTGAGAGCCTGTATCTGGATTTAGCACTTGAAAGATCTAACTGGATATTTGGGTTAAAAGAATCACATTTATTCCCAAATCGGAATGCTTTGTTTTTCCTGTCAGTTAATTGCCAGTTGCCAACAAATCTAGTTCTATACAGTTTCTTGGGATGATGATAATAAACATTTATTGAGCAATTGTCCCATAACTTTTGATATAACCTTTGTTATACATATCATTTAATCATCATAACAACACTGTGAGTCTGGTGCCATTATTTCAGCATTACAGATGATGCCATGTAGAGATCTAGCATCTTCTCCAAAGTCGCCCAGCTGGTAAGTGGCAAAGCATGGATTTGAACCAGGCTTTCTGACCCCAAATCCTGAGCTTTATTTCTACCTCTCTGCATTTATCTTATTTTTATAGCTCCTATATCTACCTGTTACAAATTATTTATTATAGTCTTAACCATGTCATCAAATCAAGCCTCAGTTTTCATAAATGATGAAACTGAAGCCCAAAGAGGTAAATTGCTTGTCAAAGAACAAGCAGCCTCCACCTCTTTGGTTCTATGCATTGCAATGAAACAGATATGTTAGACGAGACAGTTTTAAGCCATGTTCCACCTTTGGCTCATCTTGAGAAACAGGTGACAATATTTAGATTAAACCGATAACGCAAACCAATATGCTCTGAGGCTATAGAGATCAGTCACAATATGTTGTTATGAATCCTATGTTAATTGGATTATGTCTGCTCTGTACCATATGTTGCAATCCCCAGACCACTAGACACTCTTTTTGAAACAGAGAAAAAAATATGGCCTCAGCAAATTCAATTTAGCTTTGGTGTATATTCTCTCATGCTTTAGAAACATTCTCAAGGAAAAAATATCTTCCAGACATTTTTGTTAATTACAAATTCCTAAGCCACTGTCTGAGGAACAGTATGAATTTTTTAAATGAAGACAATTTTTTATTTAAAAAAAGTATAAATTCCATTCTCTACTTATAGTACTGACTCTTTCTTTCTGTTAAGAGATAGAGTAGGTAGTTAGTCTGCTATGGTGTTATATCTATTTTGAATACTTTGAACAGGAGGAGGCTCGGATGTTTTTAAAAAGAGTGTTGGCCGGGCGCGGTGGCTCATGCCTGTAATCCCCGCACTTTGGGAGGCCGAGGCGGGCAGATCACGAGGTCAGGAGATCGAGACCATCCTGGCCAACATGGTGAAACCCCATCTCTACTAAAAATACAAAAATTAGCTGGGCGTGGTGGCACGTGCCTGTAATCCCAGCTACTCGGAAGGCTGAGGCAGGAGAATTGCTTGAACCAGGGAGACAGAGGTTGCAGTGAGCTGAGATCACACCACTGCACTCCAGCCTGGGTGACAGAGCGAGATTCCATCTCAAAAAAATAAATAAATAAATAAATAAATAAATAAATAAATAAATAAATAAATAGAGTGTCATTATGGTAGAGGAACAAGGCCACCAGACTGAGAATCAGACCGGACTTCTCTGCTGCCGTGTCAACTACCGTACCTACCCCAGTAGCCAATGACTGTGAACTATAAATCATGAATCATCAGGAATTAGCTGATTCATAATGAAAAATTCTAACACTGAAGGGTCACCGTAGTAGCAGTAAAGCTGTGTAGATCAGAAGACAGTCTGACTACTCACAGGCTAACTCTGACCTACAAATGTTTGCTTTCGTTGTTACTGGTTTTACATGGTGTTTGTTCTCACAATGTTTTTTAAAAATTACCAATATTTTAAATAAAACCTTTAAAGATTTTAAATAAAAACCTAAATTACTACAAAGAAATGCAGGTCACTCTAATATGGAGGTAGCTTTTTATTGACTAAGGAGTCTCTGAAATATTGAGATGAAATTAAGAGTTTCAGTGAAGAAAAATTAACATAGTTACACTCTTTGGCACAGAAGTTCAAAATGGACTGAAGGGTTCACTATTTTTTAAAGATATAACACTGGACACAAAATATTTATCCCCATAATCAATATGTTCTAATGCCTGAAACAGTAGAAAAATGTACAATAATCAAAATAAGTATAGCTGTGTAAAACTTCAAACTTTTATATAATAAAATATAACAAAACAAAGAAAACATAAAAAGGGAGAAACATAACATGTTAGCAAAAGGGTTAGCAGTTTTTCAAAAAAAAGCTTCATTGTGTCTGATATGCATAAATAAATATGCAAAAAAGTCATTATATGATTCATTCAAAAGGAGATAGGTAAAACAAACATGGAAAAATAGGCTTGCTAATTCAATAAATACAAATTACAATATTTAAAACAGGAAAAATGAATAATTATAAAACAGTTGGCAAAAATAGAAGCCTTCTAGGCATTGCAGTATCTTTGGTGGCATTGGGAATGGCTTTCACCCTTTTTATGGGTCATTTTACACATCACAAGTCATCAGAACAGTTGTATCCTTTGACCAGGTAATCTCACTCATTGCAATGTATATCTCAAAGAAATAAAAATATTTTAAAATGCTATACATGGCCAGGTGCAGAGGCTCACGTCTTTAATCCCAGCACTTTGGGAGGCCGAGGCAGGTGGATCGCTTGAGGTCAGGAGTTCAAGACCAGCCTGGTCAACATGCTGAAACCCCATCTCTATTAAAAAAATACAAAAATCAGCCAGGCGTGGTGGCACATGCCTTTAGTCCCAGCTACTTGGGAGGCAGAAACAGGAGAATCATTTGAACCAGAAAGGCGGAGGTTGCAGTGAGTTGAGATCGCTCCACTACATTCTGCCCTGGGAGTCACAGTGAAACGCCATCTCAAAAAAAGAAAAAAAAATACTATACACAAAATTTTTATTGTAGCAATATTTGTCGTATATACCATAAATTATAATATTTAAAAAATTAAACAACCACAGTTTGGGAGTAGTCAAGTCAATTATAACAAAAACAATAGGTGATAGTATTAGGCAACTAAAGTTAATAAATAAAATAATATTTAGAAAATAATATTTTTAGAAATATTAAAATAGTTTGTTAGAAAATAAGTTCTTTTAAAAGCATAATGCAAACTTGTTATATCCTATGTTTAGAACTCTGAAGAATATGTGTGCATATGGTCATTGTTCAGAAGAGAAAATGGAGCATTGAAAGTAATTGTTTTATAGTACAAGGATTATGGGTAATCTCACATTTAGTTTTTAAAAATATTTTTCTGAGTCGTTTTAATAATAAATTTTTCAAAAAACTGCACAACAGAGCTAATGTGGCAAATTAAGTACAATTTCAACCCTAAAAGATGGTCGCCCAAGCTTAAAAGAAATGGGGGCTCAAGAATCCCAAGAAACAGGGAGAGAGAAGCATCTTCACAGCAACATGGGCAGTGCCATGTTGATGAGCCACTAAGCAGTTTCCAGGTTAGAGGAATGCAGAGAGTGCTGTCAAAATCCTTGTTTATCCAAATGTGTGAGCACTACTCAGGCTCATGCAGTGTCTCCCTGGATTTTGTGTTAATAAATTATCTCCTCTTCTGTTTCTTTTGTTAAGTGTGATCTTTCACTATGTCTTGGTTAATGAGAAACTTCCAGGTTCTCTGAATGAATCTTTTTTCTCCCTCTTCATGATTCTTGTTAAATATATATGTTTTAATTCCAAATGATTGCACCGCACAATCTTACCTAACTCTCTTCAACCAGACTCTCTCACCTGGGAAACTCTGTCTTTGGTACATCTGGAGCCCACATTTCATGTGGATATCATTCTCCTACTTCTCCCCAACAAGGGGCCATATGTATAGACACAGCAATGAATCTGCCAAGTTCTTTTGAGCAACTAACTATTCTTCTGGGCAAAATAATCAGGAGGCAATAAATAAATAAATAAATAAATAAAATAGATACCAGGTCTTCAAAATTAGAAATAGCATTTGCTTCTTCCTTGTCCTGCTTCCAAGCATCTATGAGTCATCCATATTTCAGAAGCACCACAGCCTTTTTCTTTTCCTTACCTCTCATTAAAATCATTATTTCTCCCCCTGCCACCAGCTCTCTTATTAAGGAAAAAAATTCTTGAACATCGCATTTGGCTGTGCAGATCCAGAGAGGAGATGATACAAAGCTTAGTGCATTAGGTCACTGAAAAATACAATTATTTTCCCAGGTTCTTGCAGTCATTTTGCTCTGGGGAAAAATATTTAATAGGGAATGTCAGAGTAAATGTAATTAAGTTACTTTTCAGACATGTGCTTTTTATTTTTTATTGAACTTACTATATACTAGGCTGCTGGAGACAGGCAAAAGCAACACAGCCTTACCCTGTCAGAGAAGACTTCCTAAAACAGGCTCCACCCGTTCATTTCTGAGATCTGCGTCAGGATACAGTCTATCTCAAAAGAAGTTATATTCACACCTCGGAGCTAGAGGACCTTAATCCTTTAAACAGTACATATATTGAATCAGATTATTTGGTTGCAAGCAACAGATTTTTTTTTTTTTTTTTTGAGATGGAGTCTCGCTCTGTTGCCCAGGCTGGATTGCAGTGGTGCAATTTCAGCTCACTGCAGCCTCTGCCTCCCGGATTCAAGCAATTCTCCTGCCTCAGCCTCCCGAGTAGCTGGAACTACAGGCACCTGCCACCATGCCTGACTAATTTTTGTATTTTTAGTAGAGACAGGGTTTCACCATGTTGATCAGGCTGGTCTCGAACTCCTGACCTCAGATGATCCACTTGTCTCGGCCTCCCAAAGTGTTAGGATTACAGGCGTGAGCCACTGCGCCCGGCTGCAACAGATTTTTAAACTTAAGCAAAACCTATCAAAAGAATAACGGGAAAGCTCAATGTTTTGAAGTAAGAAAGAGAGTGACAGATGAAGCCTCGAACCACAGCACTCCAAGGATGCTAGTGCAGGAACTAGGGGACTATGTCTTTGGGGCACTGACATTGGAAATGACTCATCTCCAAACACCTTTGATATCCAGTGTTTCTGTTTCAGATTCACATTGACTGGCCTTGAGTCTCATGCTTTGCCTGGTGAACAGGGAGCAGGGAGTCTGTGATTGGTAGATACACCAAAACCACATGAAGCAGGAAGAGGGCAGTTCCCCAAAGAAAGGATCCTAAGAAAACAAAATCAATACATTCCTCCTGAAATTTTTGCATTCAGTTTCCAGTGTTTTACTTCAGTAATTTAAAAAATTTTTTGTCCCAGTTTCAACAGTAGATCCCTAGATTGGTGAATATTAGCATGATCAGGTCAGGCTAGCAAAACTGGGCCTTGTTTCCTCTCCTTTTAATTGAGAATGTCCATCTCCACCCTTCTCTCTTAAACAACTGTTCTAGGAAGCTTCTGTGATATAATGAGACTGTTTGGGATCGGGGGTGGGGGAAATTATGCAAATTTATTTTATACAAAAAATCCTAGTTTTCATATGCTTTCATTCATTCATTTAAAAAATATTCACCGTGCTGGGCACTGTTCTAAACAAGAGTATGTATCGAGCAAAATGGACAAAAGTGCTGCCCTCCTGTAGCTTACATTCTACTTTGCTGGGGAAATAGGCAATAAACAAATAAACACATACTATGTCAAGAGAGAAATAAAGCAAAGTAAGAGAGATAGATTGTATCTGAAAGAGGATGGAAGGGGGAAAAGAATTTGCCTTTTTAAGCACAGTGATTAGGGTAAACTTCATGGATAGGTGACATTTGAGAAGAAACCTAAAGAAAGTGAGGGAAGGAGCAATATTGATTCCTGGCAGAAGAGTTTACAGGCACGAACAGAAAATGAAAATACCCTCAAGTGGCAAGTTGCTCAATAGATTTAAGGAACAATAAGGAAGCCCAAATGGCTGAGCAAAGTCAACCAGCGAGAGAGAAGAAGGATATGAGGAAATAGATCTTGTGAGGCCTCATAGCCCATTGCAAGGACTCTGAATTTACTCCGCAAGAGACAGAAAACCATGACCAGGCATTGAGCACAGGAGTGACATGACAGTCATTCTCACTGCTGTGAAGAAGACAGAAGGGGTTAGGGAAAACAACTAGGAGGCTGTCTCAATAATCTAGGTGAGGTGAGAGGGGATGGTGGCTTGGATCAGGGTGGTTGGTGGAGGTGGTGGGATGTTGAATTCTGGATATACTTTGAAGGTCGGTTCCACCATATTTGCAGATACACAGGGTAATGGGATGCTAGAGAAAGACAGGAATCAAAGGTGGTTCTAAGGTTTTTTTCCCTGTGTCATGGCAAGGATGGAGGTTCATTGTGATGAGAAAGACTGTGTAAGCAGCAGGTTTCAGAGGGAAAATTAGGAGTTTGCTTTTAATGTGTTATCTTTGAAATGTCCGTTCATTACCTAAGTAAAGAGGCAGAGTAGGAAGTTAGGACAGAAAAGCCCCCAACTCTTGGGAGTCATTGACATCTGGGTGGTATTTAAAGCTGACTCTGAATGAGAACATGAGTGTAGCTGAAAAACTGAAAGCATGCCTATGTTTACAGTCAGAAAGATGAAGAAGAAAAGCAAAAGAGACTAAGGTACAACAAAGAGAAAGAAGTATCACAAAAACAAAGTTAAGAAACTATACCAAAGAAGATGGAGTAATCAATGGCGTCCAAGCTGCCGATACATGAATAAGGTGAAAACTGACCGTTAGATTTGGCAATATGGAGGCCATTTTTTACTTTTACAGGAATTGTTTGACAGGTGATGGGAGGGGACAAAAGTCTGATTGAAGAGGGTCTAAGGGAGAATGGGAGAAAAGGAATTAGAAGCAATGAGTATAGACAACACTCTAGAAAACCAGAGAAATCAGGTGGTTGCTATGTGCTGGGAGGTGTGGAATGGGCACAAGGAAGGATTAGCTGCATAGATCTTGATTAGTAACATCAAAAACAAATGATGAGTGAAACACTTTATCTGCATTTCTTGCTGGAGACTTGAGAACTAGTCACTACTCGAGCCAGCTGTCAGATGTTTCAAGTGACGACATCTGAACAAAATACAAAGCAGGGTTTGGGCAACAACAAAGTTTATAATCTTATCCTATACATGTTACTGATCTGGTCAGAGACCACACCTGTGATAGTACAAACATCTCCTTTTATCTGAATTTGGTCCATTCCTAGAAATGTGTTGGCTAGTAAATTTATAGATGGTGGAAGCCCTTTCCATTATTTCAAATGGAAAAAATAATAAAGTATTCCTATTTCATCCAAAAATCTCAAGCAGTTTCCCTAAATTCGCTAAAACACTCTTAGACACCTGTAGACATTTAATATCTAATGCACAATGCATGGATATGTGACAATCTACCAAGAATTTCTGCATAACATAAAGCATTTAAAACATTAGTTGTATAGTGCATAATTTGTTGGTATTCCTCCATGCAACATGCAGAGTACAGTATCAGATACAAACTATGTTTTTTCTTCACAGTGTAGTAAATATATACTAATGTAAATTAACAATAAAATGCTAAAGAAACATAATGAATATAAATAACCTTTAGAAAAATGAAATACATGAGCAAGGCAATTTTTTGAATGATTACTTACTAGTTAAAGAGTTGCCTAAGTGAGATGGGGTGGGCTAGAGTAAGTTTGTGAAGGACCAACTGGAGCAATAAATGCCTGAGATTTGTCCCTGGCTCAATCCTGGGACTAGCCGGGTGCAGTGGCTCACACCTGCATTCCCAACAATTTGGGAGGCTGAGGCGGGCAGATTACCTAAGGTGGAGAGTTCAAGCCTGGCTAATATGGTGAAACCCTGTCTCTACTAAAAATACAAAAATTAGCTGGGTGTGGTAACACATGCCTGTAATCCCAGCTACTTGGGAGGCTGAGGCATGAGAATTGCTTGAACCCGGGAGGCAGAGGTTGCAGTGAGTCAAGACTGTGCCATTGCACTCTAGTATGAGCCTCAGAGTGAGACTCTGTCTCAAAAAATCCAATCAAATCAATCAATCCTGTGACAGCCTTCTCTCCCTGGCCCTTGAGTCTCTGGAAGTGTGTGGCTATGAGCTAGCAAATGAAGCTGCAGCTGAAGCAATGGGATAAAGGGGGAAAAAACAACAACCTCAAAACATATGTTTGTTTGCATTCTTTTTGCATTCATTTACATGGCCCTTGACAGCATGAGACTGGACTTCTGCTTGCATTTCTGAATGTGCTACCACTCAAGTCACTTGCAGCTGCAATTATCATTTTGTCTGCATCACCTGAGTGTATTTTAAATATTTGATATTGAATATTCATAACTCCTTCTTTTCTTCCTCTGACCAATAATGAGTATCAAGTTGAGCAGTTTTTTACTAGAAAGAAAGTTTTCACTTGATAATATGGGGAAGATGCACATATGCACAGCACATTTAAACAATGTGATCCTAGGGGAGGAACCGCTGAATTACAAAGGCAGCTGTATGTCTTGTCACTCAGACTCAGACACAATTGAAACATTTTCTCTGGTGTTCACAGGCAGATGATAGTGGATTTTCCATTCCAATGTGAGTTTTAAATAAAAAATTGTGATAGTTGTTATAGCGAATAGTGAAGATTCAACTAGAAAAGGATACCTATAAATGGCGATTGTTTGAGAAGCATTGCAGGCTTTGGCATCAGACAGTCCTGGATCCGCAGCCTGGATCCCGACTTAGTAGCTTGCATGATCTTGGGTAAGTAAGGTTATTAACCCCTATAAACCTCTGCTTTCTCAAATGTGAAATAAGGATAATAACACTTAACTTACAGGGTAATTATAAGATCATAATACAGGTATATTGTATCTGGCATATGTATTAAATGCCAAATTTAAAAACAATAACTACTTCTGTTAGTCTATCAGCATGTGGGTATAAACAGCAGAAGTTTAAAGAAAAAAATGTATAATATAAACAATACGGCCTATTTGTTATTGAGGTACTAAGAGAAAAATAAGACTAATCATTGTTATGCACAAGGAAACAGAGGGAGTCATGTCCATAAAGGCAAGATGACTCACTGCAAGTTACATCTTTCCTCCTCATCTTGGCAGTGTCTTATAAAAAAGCAGGGCCCATCTGCTCAGAGTTTAACTGAATGTTTGATGATGTTACAGTCCAAACTAAATTCCCCCAGTCTGTTCTTAATCCACAGCAATAACTCACTGAATCCTTCATATTATAGCCATATCCTGTACACATTAAAATAGGTCTAGGTCAAGGACTATTTTCAGACACATTTGTATGTACTTTCTGCATGTCAGGTTTACATAACTAGTCACCATTTGCACACAGAGATGTCCCAGGAAAATCCCTAGTACCTCTGAAGCCCTTGGGGTCCAACGTGCTTCCCTACCAAACCCTTTCCCAGACCAGCATTCCTTGTTTCGTAGGGCTGGGCTTCGGCCTGCATTCCCAAGTCATCTGCCCAATTTTCCTGCCTTGTGCCAGTCTCCGAGCCCCTGCTCAGCTCTAGTCTTTCCTTTTCTAGGGACCCTAACACTAGTCTTTGATTCACAGCCTGCAGTACTGGCATGGAGGGAAAGAGATTTCCTGAGCTAGGCTCCAACACAGCCTGAAATCTCCGACCTTTTCTTCTGAGTCCTGACCCCCAGATAGACTTCCCTATGCACCCTATGCCTGAATCATGCCTGGCCGGCTGTTTCTCCAGAATAGAGGTGGAGAGAGGTGGGGAGAATGAAAGGAAAACCTTTAAAGAGAATGGGAGGATCATTCACATCAGACAAATGAGTCAGTGAAGACTGTGGGCTCTGAAAACAGACGGCATGGGTTTGAATCCCAGCTCTAACCTTCACGAGCTATGTGACCTTGGACAAGTTATTGAACTTCTTTGTTGCTCAGTTTCTTCACTTATAAAATGGAGATTATACCAGTATTTACCTTATAAATTGTCATAAAGATAAGGCAAGTTGCTACATTGATAAAGTGCTCAGAATTGTGCCTTACACATATTCAATGCTAAATAATTATAAATGATAATGATGACCAAAAGCTTCCAGCAAAGGGATAACACCCAGGCTCCTTAGTACGGCATCTGAGGATTTGCCTAGTGTGGCCCTGTTTCTCTCTCACTGCATATCTTTGTCCATGTGTGCCATTATAACAAAATACCCGAGACTGGGTACTTTATAAAGAAGAGAAGTGTATTCCCCACAGTTCTGGAGGCTGGAAGTTCAAGATCAAAGCACCACCAAGTTTATTGTCTTAGTAAGGGCCCAGTCTCTGCTTCCAAGATGGCATCTTGTTGCTTGTCCTCCACAGGGGACAAATGATGTGTCCTCCCATGGTGAAAGGCTGGAAGGGCAACAAAAGGGACTAGCTAGCTTCCTCAAGCCCTTTTATAAGGGCACTCATCCCTTCATAAGGGCTCTTAATACCAACCCTTGGAGTTTAGGTTTAAACATATGAGTTTGAGAGGGACATATACATTCAAACTATGGCACTATTCATGCCTTGTATACTTTTCCTTCAGCCACAGCAGTCAGTTTCACAACACTATACCACTGTCCAGGAAAGTCATGTCTTTTTTCCTTTGTTTATGCTACCCTCAGGTTAGTATGTTCACTTTCCCCACCCAACCTCCCCATCCTGCCTGTCTTATTCAAATGTTATCTCATGAACCAGCTTCCCCACAAATCCCAGGAAGCATGGATCAAATGTATCATGGAGGTATATGTTTGTTTTCTCCCTAGACTCAAGCTGTTTAAAAGGAAAGATATAACTTCCTTCTATCTCTATCCCATGATACGCAGAAGAGTGCCTGGCACCTAGTATTAACTCAATATATTATGTATTTTTACTTCTACGGGATTGACTCTTGTCATTGATGTCAATGGCTAAATAATGGCTGTTTTAGAGTACATGTGAGGGTTTTCTTAATCTACACAAATCACTTAGCAAAGTGCTGGCCACAGATATTTATTGTAACTACTATTGTTGCTATAACTGCTGCTGTTTTGGTATATAGCAGTAGAGCAGAAAGAGCCCAGGCTTTGGAGCTGAACAGAAATGGACTGAAAGACCAACTTTGCCACTTAAAAGTTGCAGTAACTCCACTTTCCTTAGTTATAAAATAGACGTTATATATCTATTTTAATGTAAAACACTTGGCAGAAAGTAAGCAACCAATAAATATCATTAAGTTCCTTCTCTTTCTCTTCTATGCCTTTTTTGTGGCTTGGCTCGGTTTACTACACTTCTCTGGTCTCACTTTCCTCCTCTGTAAATGAACTAGATGATTTCCATGTTCCCTACCAGATCCAAATTCCAAAGTTACTGAACTCACCATCTTTTTCCCCTTAAATCTACTCATTCTCTTCCCTGAGGGACGTTCTTTCCTTGACAGCTACCAGGTATATTAAATTGTTTCAATTCTCTATCTCTATCTCTCTCAATCTCTAAGAGACCATAAGGTGGTCCAGACCCAGGGCCTTGGCACAACTCCAGGGGCCATTTGCACAGTGGATTAACATACGAATAGCGCCTGTCAACTGAAGAATCATGAGCTTCATAAATTTGGCCAGGAGATCTTTAGTTCTCATAAAGGGTTGCAGCCAGCAGGCCAGCCATCCTGCAGAATGGGAAGCATAGCCTCAGCAGAAGCTGAGAGCAAGCACTTCAAGGGAGGGGTAAAAGGGAACAGGAATTTATGCTGAGTGGGGTGGCTGAGTATACGTATTGAGTAAGCTATAGGAGGAGTCATAAATATTTATGAAAAGAGATACATGCACATGTGCAGTTGAGCTTCATGCCTCTTCCTGGGCCCATGTTCAAAAAATGGTGGTGTTAGCATGACCCGAGGGTGGAGATTTTGGTCTTCTGATGTCCAAATGTGAAGCAGAGGACATGAAAACCCTCACTATGCATCCCCCACAAGTTGGCCAAAACCATCTGGAGATTGTGGTCATTTTTTAGGAAGGGTGCATTGGGAAACTGGTGAGCTGTCACACTGAAACTGCAAAGAGGGAGGGAGAATCTGGTTATGGCCTTAGATGATTAGCTAAAGGTGATAAAGCAATGAGTTATCGGTTTCTTGTTTTCCAGAGCTAGCTTTTGCTTACTTCTTAAGAATGAATTATGGCTAAAGGTTAATAAGGAAGGGACAACTGAGGCATGACAGACCTCCCATCCAATCAAGGCCAGGAACTCAGTTTTTAAGGTTTCTTCGGGGTCCCCATGGACAAGAGAAAGTTCGTTCAGTCGGTTGGAGAGCTTTTAATTTTATTTTTATTTCTCACCCTCTAGGCATTGGGTGCTCCTCGGCAGCCCTCAGTCCAACCCTGGCTGAATTTCTTTCATGATGTATAATGAAGGTCACAGAACACACAGGGAGAAATAGTCTCCAGCTGTCCTTGAGTCCAGAAAAAATGAATATCCATCTGAAAACCAAAGAGTACACAAGCATTGGGCCAGGTATATCATTGTATTCATGGCCTTTTCTTTCCTATTCTGTCACAGACTTTGCAAATGGGCATCAAACACTTCTCTGGGCTCTTTGTGCTGCTGTGCATTGGATTTGGTCTGTCCATTTTGACCACCATTGGTGAGCACATAGTATACAGGCTGCTGCTACCACGAATCAAAAACAAATCCAAGCTGCAATACTGGCTCCACACCAGCCAGGTGAGTGCCACAGGTGTCTTGCTCCAATATTCTTAAACTGTACAATTCCTAGGGATGGGAGGATCCAGAGCCCTATGTCAGACTACTAAGTTATGTTACCACAATAACGAGGGTGGGGTAGGCACTCTCATTAGAGCAGAAGGAATTCTCTCTATCCCATTAATTCACTTTTCCCTTAAATTAAGGCATCCCACAGTGCTCCTTCCTTTCCTATAACCCTCCACTGTTGTTCATAATAGAAGAAATAGAACTTTTTTAACCAGGTTTCACTTAATAGTGACAGTCTGAAAAGATGGTGTGAAAGATTTATTTCCTAGGTTCTTTTCTTGCCAAAATTGAAACCTATTACGTGAGTTTAAAGTCCCTGGTCCCCTTTAAGTGACCCCACTTGCCCCTGTTCTCTCTGCTTTTTCCCTGGTCCAGAGGGGTTTGAGACCCATTGGGGCCAAGGCCAAGCTTCACAAGGCCGCAGTTCTCTCCTGTTACCTAGACATCAACGCACTGATTTACAGGGAGAACTGAAACTGTCAAGCAGACTGGTGACTCAAGCACACTCGTTTGCATATCTCTCCCTGAATGAAATTGGCATGGAGACCCAAAATATAGTCAGAAGGCTTCATAATGATGGAAGAACTCTAACAAAGGGAGTGGTTTCACTTGACCACAGCAAGGCTGGATGAGCCATCCTGGCCTCTCCTGTGGTGAGACCACCTCCTGCCCTCCAGTGTACCATGGATTACCTCCCAGCAGGGAGGCTGTCACTTCTGCATTTACCCTATTCATGTATTCATATACCCTCATACTAAACTCCTCACTTTGGTAACACTTTTTTTTTTTCTAGATAGGTTACTATCATTGGTTTGGTTACAGTTGAACCCTGTTCTTCCTACTTTTATCCTGGGAAGTATTTGGTCTTCTAGGAGAACTCCACAGATCTTCCTTATTGTATGCTAATATGATTAACTTAATTCTCAAGAGTCCTCCTTCCCTTCTTTGTTTTGGTTGTCAATTAATTATATACTTTTTACTCATCTTTAGCAATTATGGAAGGCCTTTTGCTACACATTAGTTATGATTGTGCCTCCTTATATCACATACCGTTTTATAATACTGAGCTTTCCATCAGAACACTTTTTTGTTTCTCCAGGTGGAATAATAACCTCTAATTAGAATTTTTGTTCTGTTGAGATTTGAGGCTGAATGTTGATCTATTTTTAGGCATTTCTGGAATTTGTTTAAAGAGGCCAAGGTTTGTAACGACTACATATACTGTTACATCTCAAGTGGTTCTTTGTTCCCTGACCTATGTGTTTCTCATAATTTCTACCTGTGAATCTGTTTTCTCCATCAGAGATTACACAGAGCAATAAATACATCATTTATAGAGGAAAAGCAGCAGCATTTCAAGACCAAACGTGTGGAAAAGAGGTAAGAAGGGGCCAATGGCAACTGTCTTTATATTTGTAAAATAATCTTTAGAGATCTAACTGTATAATTATTCAGATCAAATCAGGGCAATTTATCAAAAGAATCAGTATAAATAGAGGGAAATAAAACATAAAATAAAAAATGTATATGGACACTAAAATGCAGTGTACACAATATACTGTCATGGTTAGAAGTGTAGTCATGGACTCTAGGATCAACCCTCTGGATCCAAATCCTGTCTCCAAGACTTATGATATGTGTTACTTTGTGTAAGTCACTTATTTAATCTCTCTGCACCTCAAGTTCCTCATTTGTAAAGTAGAGATAAAAACAGTACCTATTTCCTAGAGTTGTTGTAAAGATTAAATAAGATCATACATGTACATCTCTGAATGAAAGGAAATGCCTAATAAATATTAGCTATTATTATGTACAAAATACATGTAAGAATTAATGAATACCGCAGGCAATTAATTCCATGTTTTACTGTCTTTTTGGCATATTTCCACTCCCTACTCCTTTCTAGCATTCCTAGGAACAGAGTATTGGAAATATGAAACAGACATGTCATGCCTAATTCATTTCCTGGCACTTTTCTACAAACTCCCTAGCAAAGAGCATCTTATTAATAGGAAATAACAAACATTAAATGCATTAATGACATCTGAAAATCGAAGCTCTTCACTCTCACCACACCAGGCTGTGGATGACTGTTCCCTATTTCATGGTGACTAAAGATGTCAGAAGCACTTGGGTCTGGTTCCTGGCTAGTCTCTGCTGCCTGCTGCCTAAGGCAACCCTACTGATTCTTTTGTACACCCAGAGGCCTCAGATGAGGGCACACCTCTCATCATAACAGAAGAAAAAGGGATGGAAAACAGGATTCTTTTTGTTTGTATCTTTTCTGGGACTGCTGCAGTCCCCTTCTATGCAGTCTCCATCTAGCTTGTTGGAATCATTTCCTTTATCTCTTGAAGTATCTCTTTCCAGTCAATGAGCACTCTCCCCTCCCCTCTCAGTCTGTGGTATTCCTGCATCATATTGCAAGTGTGTTAGTGACAAGCTGTATACTAGTCCAGTCACAGCTGTTCCATGACATGTTACATCTATTTTTTCTATTTTTAACATAAATTTTTAATAACAGTAACACAAGAAGACATAGCAGCAAATGTATCATCTTACAATGAAAAAATATTTGTTTTCCAGCTATAATAGAAACAGGAAGCCCAATGATCCCATCTCCAACTGTGATATGATTCATATTCACATCTTTCTCACATAAATTGAAAACCATTTGTGTCTTTTGATGCAACTTACCCAGTTTTCTTGGCAGATTCCCTTCCTGAACCCCTTATTTTGAGGATCTAAGGAGAACAGGTGTTCATGGTTTAGCTTGGGCTCACATTTCCTGTGCCTACCTCTATACAACCCAACATTAGCAACCTGTCAAACACAATGAGTGTTTGGCGTACCATAGCCGTCATGTCTCTTTGGAATAGTCCAGTGGAGTATTGAACCTCAGTGTTACATAATTGCTCCAGGGAAGCCTATTTTACCCATTTTTAGTGTTAAATACAGCTCACTCACTGGTCATGTAACACTCTAAGACTGACGAAGGCTTGAATCAAAGCAAAGCCTAAATGTTACTGAGGCTAGGAGTATAACACCAGCCTTGGGTTATTTTTTCCAAGTAGACACTGAGTCTTACACTCAGCATTTGTCACCTTGCACTCATAGGTACCCACATCAAATATCAGATGCCTGGTGATACTAGCAACTAGAATTTGGCACAAAGTCCAGCATTTGTTTATTCTTCTATATTATATTACCAGATAGATATACAAAGCTCTGGAGAAGACCAGTCCAGCTATCTTTACTTACCTTATCACTGTGGCTGTCTAGACAGTTGAAGAAAATGTGTAGATGCTCTACTCTCAGGTTTTCCCTGCTATGAACCATTGTAGGGCATTAGAATGCTCTCCCTCTCTTCTCTTGGAAGTATATCTATGCAAATGCTCATGCATGCTACAACTTGACATCCCTCCTCTGTGCCCCATATTTACTGAACAAATAAAAGAGCAAATAGATAAATGAATGAATTATTAACATGGGTTTGAGGAAATGCTTGGAGAAATTTTGGGCCATGATATGGAAGTAGGTATTGTCCCTTTCTCATTTAATGCAAAGAAAATAAGGTACATATTGCAGGAGATGATTTATATATAGCCCTGGGTTTATTCAACATGTGATTTCACATAAGGTTTTGGTCTATCTTTCATCTCACTGGGTTCCCAATCAATACATGTCACCCCTGTTTTCCCTTTCCTCTCACCCCAAGACACACAAAAATTACAAACTACATAACAGCACAACCAAGATTACTTTAAGATTATTCAAATTCAATAGGAAAAGATTTGAAGAAAAAAATTAAAGGGAATTATAAAGCTAGAAGAAAAATTACATCTCCTCTCTGACTCAGGTCTAAAGCCAATGGAGCTATAAGTGGGTTCATTACAGAACTTTTACCCAGCCCAGGATACAAGAAAACTGAGCTCTGGTACCCTCTGCTCATTTATATAAAACTTAGACTATGAGGCATGTTAAAGAACCACAGGGTGGTTTGGAGTGTGTGTTTCAATGGCTTGGGTCATGTATAAGTTGGTCTTTGCTATGTGATAAATCATCCCAATACTTAATGTTTTAAACAACAGCAAGTTGCTTACTAATTCATGGATCAACTGTGCAGTTTGCTGATCTGAGCCAGACTTGGCTGAATTTGGCTGGGTTTGCTCATATGTCTGTAGCCAACTTTGGGGGATGGGGAAAGCAGCTAAGGGCTGTCTGGTCTATGATGGCCTCAGCTAGTCAACTGGGAAGCCTGAGGATTCTCTCCATATGGTCTACCATCATGCAGCAGGCCATTCTGGACTTGTTCACATTGCAGCAGCAGGGTTCCAAGAGAGTGGAAATGTGCAAGACTTCTTAAAAGTTTAGGCTTGGAACTGCCACTCTGATATGTCTGCCACTTTCTGTTGCCCAAAACAAGTTGTGAGAACACTCCTAACTGAAGCGGGGAGGAAAGCAGATTCAGCATAGGTACAAGCTGCAAAGTCACATTACAGAGGGCATAAATGAAAGGAGAAAAGAAGGTTTATGGCCACTTTTACATAAAGACTTTATTATTCTTCTCTTTCCCCTTCTCCTTCCAGATTGTCCCCTTCTCCTGGCAAGTAAGAGTCCAGGAAAAAAGTCAATTCAGTTACATGAATGGGAACAAAAACACAATGGCTTGGTAGGGTGTTTCTATTTAGTTTTGTCCTGTGGTAGATTGCAAAAGTTGTCATAACCCTCCTACTCCTCCTCCTGCTTCTTCTCCTATGGTGGAAAAAATCAGCAGCTATGCTGCTTAGGGCTCTAATCTATTCTTGTAGTGAGAAACTCTCCTTATCTCATAAGTATCAAAGTGTATTTCAGAAACAGGATCAGCCTTCCCCTGTGACTATTTGGCAATAATTCTCATGCTGTCTATAGCCATCTCTCCATGATGGTAGTAGGTGATACGATGCAAGCCTAAAACAGGATTGCAAATTGCTTTCTATATGACTTTCATTATCCCAGCAAGAAACTGAGGGCTTTCTCGGGATTTTTTTAAGCATCGGACCTGACCTGTCATTCTCAACTCACATAAAAATCATCCCTATAGTAAGAAACACTTTGCTGAGACCTGTGGCTTATATGCTTTTTTTCTCCCCAAGATCAAGTAGTAAACATCAGGATGGTCCTGTGGGACTAAGGATGAGCCATGTTATGAGATCTGTCAGCAGGTTGATGCTCAGAACCCAACAAGTGAATAAATAGATTTTGCTTTTATTAAAGCATCATCTTTCAAATCATCAAACGTTTCAAGGTGTGGCTAGTTTCTGAGCTTCCCTTGCAGAAAGGAAATTAAAAGCCACCTGAGGTTGTTTGCAAAAAAAAAAAAAAAAAAAAAAAATGCACCATACCCCATCCTATCATCCCTTCAAATGACACCCAATTCCAGTTTCAGAGCAGCATGGGACTTGAACTTTTGTATGTTCATGACTCTTTATTGCCCCATGACACCCTAGCAGGTAGTCTGTCCATGGCTTTGTTACTTCATCTCTAAATGCACACCCAGCTCCATATTATTGCACAGGAAATGGCTAACAGATGAAGACAGCACCTTGAGAGCTGCAGAATGGAAAGTAAATCTAAAATTTCTCTGTTTCCTAGGTCTAATGTGGGACCCCGTCAGCTTACCGTATGGAATACTTCCAATCTGAGTCATGACAACCGACGGAAATACATCTTTAGTGATGAGGAAGGACAAAACCAGCTGGGCATCCGGATCCACCAGGACATCCCCCTCCCTCCAAGGAGAAGAGAGCTCCCTGCCTTGCGGACCACCAATGGGAAAGCAGACTCCCTAAATGTATCTCGGAACTCAGTGATGCAGGAACTCTCAGAGCTCGAGAAGCAGATTCAGGTGATCCGTCAGGAGCTGCAGCTGGCTGTGAGCAGGAAAACGGAGCTGGAGGAGTATCAAAGGACAAGTCGGACTTGTGAGTCCTAGGTGACCACACTGCTTCCCTTTCTCAGTTCCTGACCTTCCTCTGAGCCCTTGAGACACTTTGTAATGCTCTTTTGTAACTATCGACAAAGGTGTGGGGAAGCTGAGGTCTAGGTCTTCTTAAAGGTCAAGTCTGCTCTCCCTCGCCTAAAGTGCAGCAGCAGCTCCTCTCAAGCTCACTCTCTAGGTCTCCAGGGTAGGAGTGTTTTTCTAGCAAGAATCTTAGTCAGGAGTAAGCTCTGTGCGAGAGATCTGTGAATAACCAGATAACCCCAGCTGCCGTTAACCTTTTCACCAGGTGCCACAGTAATATTTCTGGTTTTTAGCCCTTTCTCTGCACTACCAACAAGAGATAAAATTGTTACTCACACTTATGTCTTACTGGGTTGCTGGTTTTCATCGTAACACAGAACGAGGTTATCTAGGGTTGTAGCTTTTGATACAACTCCCCGATCTAGATTTATTCCTACATTCTGAATGGGGAGCAGGTAAGAGCAGAGCACCTCCCACTGGGGGTGGGGTATTTAAAAATTAACTCATTAGTATCATAAACGTCAAGGATTGATTGGACCAGGCAAGAGCCATGTTTTTGAGAAGGTTCTGGATCTCTGACTCCATCCTGACTGTTTAGTAAGAGCATGCTTACACCCTACTGTGAAAAGGGGAGGGGATGTGGTAAGCGGAAACAGAAGACAGGCAGCAGAGGCATTAAAAATGCATACCATGCTTTCAGAACAAAAGCTCTGGGCCAGAAAGGCAATTTGGCTAAAAAATGAATAAGACTACTTCTAATGTAACTAAGCATCTCCACTATGGTGTGTGCCTTTTATAAAGGAAAAGAGAGAAAAAGGCAAAGCAAGGTTGTGGCCTTAGGTTGGACCTGGAATATCCCTTATTGCCTATAATGGAATATGTGACACTGTGGGTGAAATGTTCTACACACCACACACTAGGCCATTTTCAGATCAGCAGTCACCCATCGCTTAGCATAGAAATCCCAAAACCTCCAGCCCGGGAACACTATAAGCTTCGACCATTCAGGAATCTGCCCTGCACTTTGCATATCTGTATAGAAAATCAAGTCAATCCCCCATCCTCACACCCACTCATCTCTGAGGAGCTATGAACTGGTTTTGGTCCCTCTAATGATCCTCCAGCCTCATCTAATGCCCCCCAAAGACTGATACAAGTAACCTCCCCTCTGCTTAGGTGTCACTTTCTCAGCATATCAAGTTTAGGCAGCAAGGGAAAGGAATATGGGTCAGTTCTCAAATGTCAATGTAGATAAGAGTCATCTAGTAGAGAACTCATCAGAGTGCGGATTGCCAAGACCCTTCTCCAGAGATTATGGGGTTGGGGGTGGAGGTCTAGAGGTGAGCTCAGAAACCTACTGTTAACCAACACCCCCAAGTGACTGACACAGGTGGTCTAAAAATTACTTTTCTAGAAACACCATTCTGGAAGTTTGGCTGCCCACAGGCAGGAGGAGAAGCATGAAGAGAAAACCTGTTTGAGAAGTTTTGTTTTGTTTTGTTTTGCTTTTTAATAATTTTAGCACACATCTGCTGACTCTCCTTCAACATCCTCACCCCCACCCCTGGGCACCATTTAGGACAAGACTTCCTTATTTATCAATTACTTGATTTATCTTCTCAGGACTCATTGTTCCACCCCCAACCAATTTGAATGCCTACAATAAGTTCAGGAGCTGTGCCAAGCACTTTCCTCTTTTACAGCTGGAGATCACTGGAAAGGTGTCTCAGTCACAAAACTTCTCCCTCTACTACTGGATGAAATGTCTGCATTTCCACCAAAATCTACCCAGTCACCCAGGGAATAACAACTTAAGCTGTAGTTAGATAACACCTAGTGATTAATTGGCTGAGAAAACCCTGGAGTGGAGGGAGGCTCAGAGATACTGATATGGATGTGGGAGGGCTCTAAAGTTAGAGGTCACCAACTCCACAGATGAAACAGTTCAATAATGAGGAAACAGGTGAGCCCTGAAAACACAAAAGGACAGTTCTGTGTTGAAACACCCCATCCCCTCACGTTCTCACCCCAGGCCCAGAAGTAGGTTGCAACTGCCTTTGGAAGATTTTGCCCCTTAGCCATCCCCACCCACTTGTACCAGCTAAGAATGCTGGAGACTCTGCCACCATGCTCTGCGTGCCCCTGAACCTCTGTGCAGCCCGGAAGGCTGATGTACAGGTGTACCTCAATCCACATTACAGCCATGCTCCTAATGTACATGGACATTTTTGTAACTCAGCTCATATTCTGACTGTATTTGAGAAGCTGGCTGTTTAAGGGAACCCAGAAGTGAATTCTTTTGTAAAGTAAAGCACCCTTTTGTAATGCAATTAATTATCCCTTAATGTATCTGTTTTGTAAGTCTGCATTTTTGTATATCGGATTTACCTTAAGCTTCTCTAGTGAGGCATTCTGAGCAGTGGTGATCACATGCCAGATCGCCCTGCCTATCCACAAAGTAGATGACCAATGCACGCTCCTCAAACATCTTTGGAGGAACTACCTGGCCAAAACACTGGCCAGGATGCAGCAAGCAGCAGCAGGGGCTGACAGCAGGCTTACTGCCATCAACATTGCTTGAAATGCCTCTATGTTCTGAATAAAGAAAAACCATAATTGCTTGTGGTGAAACGAAGCAGTCTTCATGTTAAGTAGCAATGGTTATTTTTATTGGTAGTAACTGAACAGTGTTTTGCAATTTGTGAAACAGTGTATTGTGTTTTGTAAAATGATGTCATGAAATGGTGGGTCCTTGGAAACCTCCTTTCCGTTCAGCTCTGCCTCTGTTCTTTCAACTCCTTTGAGGCTCAAAAAAAACACAAAGATCAGAAGCCTTCAGATAGAGGGTGGTATTCTGGTAAAGAAGAAAGAGATAAGGGACGCTACCTTGCTTTTCTGGCACAGGAAGCACATGATAAAGCATGCTCAGATGAGCTGGAACAGATATAGCTACCTGGTTCGTGTAAATAAGAATAATCAAGGCCCCAGAGTGTGTATGCTTCCAGGTGGAGGAGAAAGGGGAATCTCCCAAAATTTAAAAACAAATTGGAAGAATAACCAGGACAGCCAAGTGAAGCAGCCACAGGGACCCAAGCAGTCGAGGTCTTTAATGTGCCTGGAGATGACTCTCTGCTATTCATGAATCTTGCTATTGCACAAACCCTATCAAGAGCTGCTGCTTCCCTTCCAGCCAGAAAAGTGGTAAGCGGAGCAAGTGCCAAGCAGAACAGACCTTATCATCTGGGTAACAGACTTCTCAGTGTTGGTGCTGTGTCTGTTAGAGCCTTAGAGCAAGTTAAGCACTTCCTTGGTGTGGGTAAAGAATAAAGGGGAAAGAAACTACTTTAGAGCCTCTTTTTCTCCCAACTCATATTTTTGATAGGAAAAACAGAAAACCCATCCAGTTCTTCAGAAATTGCTTTCTAGGCATTAATACTACTTTACTATCTATACTGTTTAGTTATTCCTTTCTTTACCCACCTAAACTATCCATCTAATCCAGGATTCCCTCACTCTTTTTTTTTAGTTACTAATCATTTTATGAAAATAATGTATTTATAAGTATTTTCTTAAGGTTTGTGAAGAGTATTTGCATTGTGTCTTCATTTTAATGTGTTTGCAATCGCTCCGCTCCAGGAAGAACGGAAATGCTGTCTTGTGAGCATGAAGTGAACGGGCTGTTTTGCTCCAGCCACTTTTCTTGTACAACCACATGGATGGATTAGATGTCCTCAGGTCTTTTCCATCTTCAGTTTCTATGACTGTGGAATAAATGTTCAGATAGAAACTTCACTTTTGGATGTACTGCTGGCTTTGTCTTTGGGGATTCAAATGTTGACATGATACCAGTTCCTTCTTAATAGGAGACCCATTAATGCTATGATTTATGCTTATTTCCTTGCTATAGTCCAAAGAAGAAACACAAGATATGCTGAGAAATCTCAGAGCTCAGGCATCATGAAGTAGAACTGAAATGGCTTCATCTGAGATAGACATTCCAGGAAAAAGCACAAGTTCAGAGGTCTCTAAAATCCTGTACTGATCACCCTCATCAGTAATTCGACAAACATTTGCTAAACAGCTTCCATGTACGTGCCAAGTGCTGGAGACACAATAGTGAAGAAGATAGGTATGGTCCCTAACTTATGACCTTTTTTCTTTTTTTTTTTTTTTTTTTGAGACGGAGTCTTGCTCTGTCACCAGGATGGAGTGCAGTGGCATGATCTCGGCTCACTGCAACCTCTGCCTCCCAGGTTCAAGTGATTCTCCTGCCTCAGCCTCCCGCCCGAGTAACTGGGACTACAGGCGCCTGCCACCATGTCTGGCTAATTTTTTGTATTTTAGTAGAGATGGAGTTTCAACATGTTGGCCAGGATGGTATCGATCTCCTTACCTCGTGATCCACCCACCTCGGCCTCCCAAAGTGTGGGGATTACAGGCATGAGCCACCACGCCCACCCTCAATCTGACCTTTTTACAACCTATAAACAGGTAATACTGTAACAACTAACATATATTGGGTACTTATTATAAACCATGATCTCATTTAATCTTAACAACCCCACAAGATAGGCACTATAGATGTAGTCTTAAGTAGGTAAATGAGACCTCCAGTTTACAGATAAAAAAACAAGAGTCAGAGAAACTATGTAACTTGCCCAAGGTTGCAGAACTAGTAATAGTAACAGAGATTTGTACAACCATACAGGATTCCGGTCACTGCCTCACAATTTTCTATTCTTCCTTGAATCCCCTTTTAGTCTTTCTGCCTTACTGCTTCTTTCCCATGCCTCGGCCTGGCCCCTAGCTCCACAGAACAGAGAGAGAAGCGGATATTGTAACTGCACCTTCATTGGTCCATTTAACTCAACACTGTAATACCTATGTCTCATAAAAATAGCATTTCAGCATCTTTTCTTTCTGCTTTCTAGCCCAACCAAGAACTGATGCAAACACAGTTACAAATCAGCAGCAGCCCTGCAGTCCCAGACATATGGGCAGTTTCTGATAACCCAAGCAGTTTTAGCTGCAGGCAAATTTGCCTTCATGAATCTGCTAGCCTGTTGCCTTCTTCACACACATTCTTTCCGAATAGAAACAATCAAATCTCATGAAAATGTAAATCCACTATAACTTAATTCAACTACCTACTTACCTAAGGGTGTTTTTGCATTACTCAATCATTCATATTTTGGATGCCTATTTGTACCCAGGCATTGGGGCTAGTTGCTGGAAATAGACAGATAAAAACAGCAGATTCTGATCCCATAGAGCTCAGTGTAATGAAAGGACACAAACTGACATTTTATGGTGTGTACTCTAATAAGGAAATGCACAACGGGTACTATTGGAGTGAAGAAAACACTGTGTGTATGTGTGCATGTGGGTGCAGGTGTGTGAGGTGAAGAGACTCAGTGGAGGGTAACAGGCAACTAAACTAAAAGAAAGCATGTACAAAATTCCAGATTAGGGAAACCATGGCAATCAAGAAACTGGGACCTTCAAATCATTTAATATAATAGAAACACACAGCTTAAGGTGGATGACAAACTATATGAACTGGAAAGAGAAAAGCAGAGGCAAGATCACTTGTGCTAAATTGGATTTGTGTCCTGAAGACTACAGGAACCACTAAAGGATTTTAAGCTGAAGAGACAACTAGTAAAAGAACAGGATCCTCACCACCAGGTGGAGCTGGATGTCACTCACATGCATTTTAGTTGTAGGACAGTGAGCAGATAAAGTTAACTTTTTGAAGTTTTGGAATGAGTTGGCCATGACATCATTTACCAGGACAGGCAGACTAGAGACAGACAGACATGGATAAACGTGTGTCTTAGATTTCAGGGAGGATGTCAGTGTTTTGTTTTGTTTTGTTTTTTTCCCTAGAAATAAGAAAATGTAGGTGGAAACGAAAGTTGATCTATCAATTTCTTTATTTGCTCAACAATTATAAAAGTTAGCATTTGCTGAGCATTTACTAGGTGCCAGGCGCTGTGCTGAATGTCTCCTGTATGATGATTCATTTCATCCTCCATATAACCCTATGATGTAGTTATTATTTTATAGATGAAGAAACTGAAGCATAGAGACATGAAGTAACTTGCTAATAAGTAGCAGCACCATACGCAGGCAAGTCGGACTTCATGAGAAATATATTTAACACAATGCCTGGAATCACAATAAGCACTCAGCAAATGCATATGATTGGGAGAGCAGGAAGAAATCTAAGATCCCTTGATTCAATTCTACTCTACAACAAGGTGCTAAAGGAACTCAGTGAATTCAGAAACAAAATGTAGTTCTAATCCAGGGCCTGGCAAAGAGTCTAGTTAGATTAGAATGATCAAGGATAAGTATAGTAGGTATATGTAAGTCTTTAGAAGACTTCAAAATGACTCAGAAAGTATTTTCACTTATTGTCTACCTGATGACATGTACTCTATTAGTACAGGTCTCCGATTGGGATAAAAGAACAATGGAGTTCTCATAGTAGCATTTCAATCCTGTGGCTAACCTGAGTGGCCCTGGAACCTATTTCCTCACTTCTAAAATAAGGACATGGTCTGAGTTCCCTTTCAGCTCTAATATCCTCAGAGCATATTATTATTATATTAATGTGAACATAGCTTCCCTCAAAAAAAAAAAAGGTTAACTTACAATAAATGAAGCTTTTATGCAGGTTTCCGTAGCGTAGTGGTTATCATGTGTGCCTTGCAGTAAGTGAAGTCTCAGCTACATGAGACTCAGCAGTCTCATGAGCTGCCACTACAGAAGTGTTAGTTTTAGAATTCATAATAATTCCTTTTATTGCCACAAAATAAATTAAAACTGTAGTCATATATTTTTGGATAATACAAATTTGAAGGGTTACTTCGATATATGGGGAAAGATTGTTTCTACTTAGGGGGTGAAAAAAAGAAAGAGTAATAAGGTTTGAATCACACATTGGCCCAGTAAAGCAGACTTCGGAAGATCTGGCAGCAGAACCATGAAGCAGAATTAATTTAATCATGAAAAACTTTACTGACTACTATGTGCCTCTGCTAGATATTAGGGATTAGACTGTTAAGACATTGTCCTTTTCATGTCCTTTAGTAATTGTGAAGTAGGCTATAAGTAAGACCTTAATAGCTAACATTTGGAACAGACCAAACATGGGCAGGAATCCCAGAAGGTAAAGCTCATTCTTTCTGATAGGACCACTTTTAAGTATTTCCAAACTTTAAGATCTAGAAAATTTGTAAGTATTTCTATGTCATGGGTTTCCTATTGTGCAAACCCAATCCAACCTACACATAATCCACCATTTTTCTACTAATCTCAGTGTATCTGTCTTAACATCAGAAAAGCAGACTTCTGCAATAATGACTAATCAAAACTTTTCTGCAGATCCACTGGGACATGGGTTTATCTGGCAGTCCTCAGATAAATCTTCAAAGAACAATATGTAACGGCATTCCACATCCTAGCAAATGACAATGGGAATAAAGATGAGAGTAGCATATGCTTCCGGCAAGTGTAAGCATCACCATCCTAGTAGGTTTAGAAGACTGATGATTATTTATTGTCTAGAATCTTCACAAAATCAAATCACAGTCATCACTCTAGTGGCATGTACATTAAACTATGTGCATCAAATTCCGGCCCTTGAAGAACAAGGAAGCCTACGGATCTGGACAGAGAAAAAGGAAAAGGAATTGCAATGGAAATTCATGTAAGAAAACAATTGCAGAAACAGCTCAATACCTTTGAAAAAGATCCCTATAGTAAGTAAGAAGGTAAGATCCAAGCCATGTAGTTATGCATGCCTCAGAGCACACCTGACTTTGGTCAAAGTCACTAAGAAATTTCCAAGGTAACAATGAAAGAAAGAAAAAAGAGAGAGAGAGACCATCCCTACAAAATCTGAAATGGTTGTTGTTTGTTTTTGAGACAGGGTCTCACTGTGTCACCCAGGCTGGAGTCCATGGCATAATCACAGCTCACAGCAGCCTTAACCTCCGGTGCTCAAGCTATCCTCCCGCTGCAGTCTCCCAAGTAGCTGGGACTACAGGTGTGCACCACCACAGCCAGCTAATTTTCGAAATTTTTTGTAGAGACGGGGTCTCCCTATGTTGCCTGGGCTGGTCTCAAACTCCTGGGCTCAAGCAATCCTCCTGTCTCAGCCTCCCAAACTGCTGGGATTATAGGCGTGAGCCACTGCACCCAGCCTGAAGTGTTTTTAAGAAATGAGAAGCCTCTAGGACTTCTATAATAATCTTTGAAATTGGCATTTATAAGCATTACCTTAAAGAAATTACCCTTTAAAGTTCATATGGATCAAGGGCTGTGATTGCTAACTAGGATCCAAAAAAGCTATGAATAATGTACATACAATACAAATAAAATTTGGTATGCAGTTTGGGAGTATTCCTAAAGCGCATTCATTGACCTCTTCTGTAGTGAGAGAAGCCAACTGCCAAAAAATCACCATCATTTTTGGTTGTTATCTGAAAATGACTGTGAGAGCTCAACTTGTGTTGCCAGGACCTCAAGCCAGTTGGGATCAGGGGCTCCCTGCTCATCTCAACTAGAGGAACTTCCTCTAAATCCAACTTCCCATGGGGCTAGTGGTTTCCTCCACAACATTCCACAGGCCCTATGGTCCCCTGGTGCTGGGCAGCTGGCTTTCTCAGCCAATTGTCACAAACAGCCAACAGCCAAGCCCAAACCACCTGTTGACCAAGCAGTATATCTGCACCCAACCAACAAAGTTATGCTCAAGCTTACCCTATAAGAAGAGCAAGAAGCAAGGGGAAAGTGTCCTATTACTAAATGAAAACTCACTGTGTCCAGAAGCAGGAGCTAATCCTGTCATGATGGTTCTGTGGGGGTGGGGGTGTTTGCTGAGCAGGGGGATCAAGGGACCCATGACCTCTCTTGATGACCTAGTAAGATTCTTCAATTAGACTCATTGCTTAATTCATACCACATGACTTTGTGGAATTCAGTGCAAATCCTGCTGATTATAGCTGGTGACCACAGAAAGACACAGAATTTGCTCTTACCTGTCTTCTAGGACAGGTGGTGATCAAGAAGGATCCATTTTACACAACCCCTTGCCAGAGATTTATGAAACCTCTGGTTTGCTGGTTATTATAAAACATAATGCAGCTGGGCATGGTGGCTCACACCTGTAATCAAAACACTTTGGGAGGCCAAGGAAGGTGGATCACCTGAAGTCAGGAGTTTGAGACCAGCCTGGCCAACATGGTAAAACCCCATCTCTGCTAAAAATACAAAAATTAGCTGGACATGGTGGTGAGCACCTGTAATCCCAGCTATTCGGGAGGCTGAGGCAGGAGAATTGCTTGGACCCAGGAGGCGGAGGTGGCAGTAAGCCAAGATTGTGCCACTGCACTCCAGCCTGGGCGACAAGAGCAAAACTCCATCTCAAAAAAAAAAAAAAAAAACCCACCACATAATGCAAGAACTCTCACCCTAAAGCTAGAGGCAGCAATATGCTCCCCCAAAAAACAAATTATAGTCTCTTACCCCACCTAATGAACTATGAAAGATAACTGAGTAGTCAAATAAATTAATCTTTTAGGTATAATTTCTCCATAGAATAGACTCAATAAAAGAATTGGGAGAAAAGTGCTTCAATTAAGCAAAGATCTAAATACTCTAAACAAGGCCAACCTCTTAACCTAAGCTGATTATTTCCATGCAAGAAAATTTAATTCTATAACAGCAGATATAAAATCAACTTGTAATAATAAAGACAAAAGTTTCAAAGAAAAACCATAAACACAAATGCAAACTGAATCCTGCTTTAATTCAAGCTTGTGGAGAACAAAGTCCTACAGAAACATTCCACAGAATTTTCTGGAAAAGAGGGATCACAACAACCCTGTAAAAAGGAGACTGAGAGTAATTCATAGCTCACCAAGTTCTCTCCGTATCAAATTTCCAGAATACCCACAAGATTTCTTCACCAGCTCAGTCCTGACTCAACCTCTTCAATCTTTATTTCATTAGAAGACAAAGGGTCATATTATTTAAAATTATTCTAGTCTCAAGAAATTTAAAGACTTGAAGTAGTAGAGCATTCAAAACTTAAATAACTTTAACAAGAAAGCCAGCTGATCTTAACAAGTTACTCTGCTAGTAAATGGGAAATAGACTGAATCATCCTAGACATAATTTCATTAGGGCTGCAAACCACCCAGGGGAGAGTAGCACAATTATACCATTTTGTAATCCACATTCACAAGAAGTTTGCTACACAAATGAAGAAAACTTTGTGCCCATAGACAACTTATTTTTTAAAATATCACTCCCCAAAAGTAGCCATGTTTCCACTTTTGTTCCCTTTTCCACATCAAAAATACCAACTTGATTTCTTCAGGAGGAATGGACAATCCAAGTTTATACAGTGGGCTGGAAAAAGAAAACACTGAAAAGTCTAAAAGCACAAAATAAACAAAGCTGGGAGGGAAGACAGTAAGAGTTATTTGTTTCTAATTCATTCTGAAACCCAAGGCTTGTATTTACCAGTCCTTTCTGCTAAAGTCATCCAGCTACTGAAGAGGAGAGCCTGGAAGTAAAGTCTGGAGGAAAGGTAGTTGACTGATAAACTGTCCTACAGGTGACAGTCAAGGAGAGAAGAGGTAGAGGTTTGGTGGTTAATGAATAAGTTCCTGACTAGCCAGCTCCTCTTCTTCTCTTGACTTAGATCAACCAATGTAGATGCGATGAAAATCATTGGCACCAAAAGCAGCATTACACTTGGGACATTTGCGCTGGCGGGTGTCATAGCGTGTCTTCACACACTCAAAGCAGAAGACATGAAAACACTTAGTAAGAACAGCATCCTTTTTACGCATGTTACAGCACGGACAGGTCAAGCGTGCCTAAAAAGAAAAGATGTCAGAGTTTGAACAACCATGAAAGTTTATGATCCAAATGGCTCTCATATACTACACAACCAAGAAGAAAACCCACAAGGCACTAAAAAAAGAGCATCATTTCCCCCCAACCTCCAAAATAAACCATTCTCTGGTTACTATCATGCAAATTATTCTCCCAGTCTATTAGGCCACTTAAAGCTTTGACAAAAAACTAATCACTAAGGCATTTTTTCTAACCTTGTAATCCTTAATCTCTTCCATCAGAATCTCATCACACTTGGGTACATTGTCTGGTTTCTTTGTGGTCTCCAGCTTCCTGCGAAGTCTAGAGATGTCCTCCTGTGGCAGGATAGCATACCCATTAGACACACTTACCCAAATCTATCATTTTTGAGAAAAATAATAGACTTGAGTTTTCTGTTGTGAAAAGAGGGGACTTTCTATCCTTTTATGGTCAATTATCTTGTAGAAATGTAGAGAACTGCAAATGGCAGGATATTTTCTTTTGTTTCAGAAGAGGCAACCATAATTATATCCCCAAATTAGAATTGCATCTATTACCAATTCAGTCCTGTGAAAACACATCTAAGAGTTTAGAGGACAGTCTATTTTGTTTTATAGTAATTAGTTTTAAGCTGAAGGTAGAACGGTTTAAAATAATTCAGAGACTTACGGATAAAGACAGAAAGACATCATGAGAAACAGCTAGCATGACAAAAATAGAGACATTATACAAGAACTTGAAAATCCTCTACTGCTGCTATGCTGTTACTTCTTTAACAATTTACTAATTCATTAATTTAACAAATATTTATTTTGTGCCTACTAGGTGCAAGGCACCATAAAAGAGTCTGAGGATATGGCAGTGAAGAAAACAGACTTACTCTCTTCCCTCAACAAACTTCCTCAAGTCTAGTAGGAAATGACATACATTGGACTAATGATTCTTTCATGATATGGGTCACTTCCGACCTCAGAAAACACCTAAAAGGTGACAAGAAAAGACAACTGCTTTTACCTGGGCTCGTTTGAAATTGAACATGTCCTTTTCTTTGGTAACACTGTTCTCCACGATCTCATCCTGAAAATCATGTAGCTTCTTCTGAGCCAACTCCAGTTGTGCTTTGAGGTCATCTGCAAGCTGGGCTGCCTCCATTGCCTATGTAGGATGTACAAATAAGTGACACCATTGTATCACCTATTATTGCCAGTGAGGCAAAATGTTAGCCCAAGTTGAAGGAATAAAGCGAACTTACAATCTCAACAGTGTTATACTTATTTGTTCCACTGAGACTAACCATCATTAGATTAATCAATCATACCTTGCGTTTATTCATCTCTAAGGCTTGGGTCCTAAGACCCAGCTCTTTCTCCCCTGTGCCAATGTTGCTCTGTAACAGATGCTCCTTCTCTTCCAGTTTCCTTACTACCTGTAGCTGGGCATCAACCTTTGAACAGAAAATCAGATTTTAACACAAATGAAAAGATTAAAAAAAGAAAAAAAACTATTCTGTTAATCTATAAGCCCACAAAATACAGTATGTTAGAAATCTCAAACTATTACTGATTTTGCCCATGAACCCTTCAAAATACATCAAGACTATGATAACTGAAAGCTTTACTTTTAATATAAAATATTGTGGAAGATTCAGTAAGAGTCTGAAAAATGACTGAAAAGATTCTTTTCCAAATTGCCAAAAATAGAGAATGCATGCTAATGCTTAAAACCTGGCAATTCATACTATAACATATAAATTAGAACTCAAACAAAAGTCCAAGAGTATTTCCTTCAGAATGGCTAGACATTCTAAAAGAGTCTTTTTTGAAATTAATGCACAAAGTAGAATCAAACAATATTAAAGTGTAAAAAGTAAAATCACAAACACCCACCTCCTAACCTCACCCACAACTCATCCCAATATGTAGAGGTAACCATTCTAACAGTTTCTCACACTGCCTTCAAAAAGCATATCAAAAAGATAGTCCACCATGATCAAGTGGGTCTCACACCAGGGATACAGGGATGGTTTGACATCCACAAGTCAATAAATCTGATACACCATATAAACAGAATTTTTAAAAAATCACATGATCATCTCAATAGATGCAGAAAAAGCATTTGACAAAATCCAGCATCCTTTTATGATTAAAACTCTAGCAAAATCAGCATAGAAGGGACATACCTTAAGGTAATAAAAGCCATCTATGACAATCCCACAGCCAACATTATACTGAACAAGGAAAAGTTGAAAGCATTCCCCCTGAGAACTGGAACAAGACACAGATGCCACTCTCACCACTTCCATTCAACATGGCACTGGAAGTCCTAGCCAGAGCAATCAGACAAGAGAAAGAAATAAAAGGCATCCAAATTGGTAATGAGGAAGTCAAACTGTCACTGTTTGCTGATTACATTATCATATACCTAGAAAACCCTAAAGACTCATCCAGAAAGGTGCTAGAACTGGTAAATGAATTCAGCAAAGCTTCACTATACAAAATTAATGTACACAAATCAGAGCTCTGCTATACACCAACAGCAACCAAACTGAGAATCATATCAAGAACTCAAACCCTTTGACAACAGCTGCAAAAAAAATAAAATAAAATACTTAGGAATATACTTAACCAAGAACGTGAAAGACCTCGACAAGAAAAATTACAAAACACTGCTGAAAGAAATCACAGATGACACAAACAAATGGAAACACATCCCATGCTCGTGGATGGGTAGAATCAATATTGTGAAAATGACCATACTGCCAAAAGCAATCTACAAATGAAATGCAATTCCCATCAAAATACCAACATCATTCTTCACGGAACTAGAACAAACAATCCTAAAACGCATATGGAACCAAAAAAGAGCATACATAGCCAAAGCAAGACTAAGCAAAATGAACAAATCTGGAGGCATCACATTACCTGACTTCAACCTATACTATAAAGCCATAGTCACAAAAACAGCATGGTACTGGTATAAAAATAGGCATGTAAACCAATGTAACAGAATAGAGAACCCAGAAATAAAGCCAAATACGTAGTCAACTGATCTTTGACAAACCAAACAAAAACATAAAGTGGGAAGGGACACCCTATTCAACAAATGGTGGTAGGATAATTGGCAAGCCACATGTAGAAGAATGGAACTAGATCCTCATCTCTCACCCTATACAAAAATCAACTCAAGATGGATCAAAGACTTAAATCTAAGACCTGAAACCATAAAAATTCTAGAAAGCAATATTGGAAAAATCCTTCTAGACAATGGCTTAGGCAAAGACTTCATGACCAAGAACCCAAAAGCAAATGCAACAAAAGAAATGATAAATAGATGAAACTTAATTAAACGAAAAAGCTTCTGCACAGCAAAAGAAATAATCATCAGGGTAAACAGACAACCCATAGAGTGGGAGAAAAAAATCTATACATCCAACAAAGGACTAATATCCAGAATCTACAAGGAACTCAAACAAATCAGCAAGAACAAAACAAACAATCCCACCAAAAAGTGGGCTAAGGACATGAATATACAATTCTCAAAAGAATATATACAAATGGCCAACGAACATAAGAAAAATGTTCAACATCATTAATTATCAGGGAAATGTAAATCAAAACCTCAATGCAACACCACCTCACTTTGCAGGAATGGCCATAATCAAAAAATCAAAAAATAATAGGTGTTGGCATGGATGTGATGAAAAGGGAACACTTTTACACTGTTGGTGGGAATGTAAACTAGTACAATCACTATGGAAAACAGTATGGAGAGTCCTTAATGAACTAAAAGTAGACCTACCACTTGATTCCGCAATCCCACTTCCGGGTATCTACCCAGAGGAAAAGTCACGCCATGGAATACTACTCAGCCATAAAAAGGAACAAAATAATGGCATTCACAGCAATCCGGATGGAATTGGAATTGGAGACCAATATTCTAAGTGAAGTAACTCAGGAATGGAAAACCAAACATTGTATGTCCTCACTCATAAGTAGGAGCTAAGCTGTGAGGACGCAAAGGCATAAGAATGATACAATAAACTTTGGTGACTTGGCGGAGGGAGGCAAGGGACAACAGACTACACACTGGGTACAATAGACTACACACTGGGTACAATGTACACTGCTTGGGTTATGGGTGCACCAAAATCTTGGTATCACCACTAAAGAACTTATTCATGTAACCAAACACCACATGTTCCCCAAAACCTATGGAAATTTAAAAAAAAAAAAAAAAAAGTAAAATCACACATACCTCCTAACCTCACCCACAACTCATCCCAATATCCAGAAGTAACAATTCTAACAGTTTCTCATGCAGCCTTCCAGAAATTTTTAAAATATACAGCACAGGAACACAAGTAAACATATACTTTAACGCAAAAAGGATAACAAAACACGTCACTTGATTTTATTTCAGACATGTTTCCATATTAGCAGATCCATATTTGACAAGTACACTGTACTCTTTTGTAGGAATAACAGTAGAGATGTATAATTTATTTACCAATACCCTAATGATGAACATTTAGTTTTCAAATTTTTTTCCAATCACAAAAATGTGCCACAATAATCATTCTTTTACTTATATCATCATGTAGAAAGCACCCTATTTCAACAGAATAGAAAGCTCTACTCATCCTAATTACCTGAGTCTTCAGAGTCAACACCTGGTCTGCCAGCTCCTCCTTCTCTTCTTTAAGCAACTTATGGATCTGATTGGACTTGATACGCTCTGACATGAGCTTGAAATTTGCATCATCCTTCTCCCGCAATTGCTGCATCAAACGGATATTTTGCTCCTGCATGTCTTCAAAGGCCTGGCCTGTGACATCCATTTCAGAGAGGAGTGCTTCTTCTTCCTAAAGGATGAAGGAAGAGATTTGATTTTAGAAGAATCTTCCAACTTCAATGGAAGAGCACAGGAAACTAAATTTTCCCACTGTTCATTTAGATATAAATTAATTTAGTGACAGAGTTTTAAGAAGTTGTGTTTTGTCACTAGGCATACAGAAGCTCTATTATCTGAAGTCACTGGCACCAATTGTTGGTCTGATACTTATTAGTTGATCTGTACTCAACGTCAGTTAAATTAGACAATAATTGTATTTACCTTAATCTAGACAAACGGATCAAGCAGCAATTGGTTAAGAGTACTTCCATCATAACCTCTCACATTTTCTCATGCTTTTCCACAATTAAAATACTGGATCTACAGGATTTCCAGCAGTTGCAAACATCTAAAGCCTTGTAACAATCTGATAGGTGAAGACTGGTATCTAATAATAGCTTTACTTTATATCTATCTCATTTTAAGTGAGACTGAGCATCTTTTCATATGGTTAAGACCACTTGTATTCTTTCCATAACCAACTCATTTCTTTTGCCTATTCTTCCACTGGATTCTTGAGTTTTTTTCCCTATTTTGGAGAGTTTTTTTTGTATCAGATAAGCCTTCTTTGTAATAAAAGTTAAAAATATTTTTTACTTTTTGTCATTTAATCTTTTGGCTTTGCTAACAGTGTTTTTTGCAGTGTAGAAGTTTTGCATCATTTTAAAAAATAACTCAAAATTATCAATTTTTTGTTCATGTTTTCTAGCCTTTTATTCATAGAAAGGTCTCCACTCCAAATTATAAAGGAATTTAATGGTTTTCTTCTAGCTTTTTGATGGATGCATTTTTTAAAATATCATATCTATGATCCATTTGGAAATCATCCTAGTGTATTCAAGTATGTATCTAACTTTTCTCTAACATTATTTTTTTTAATTTTGTCCCATCACATGTCACAGTTTTTCTTTTCCCCACTGATTTAAAACTATGTATTTAGCACATAATAAGTATCATGTGTACTTTCAACTACTTCTCAAGTTTCTATTCAGTTCTAATAGCCTGTCTAGTAGTCCCAAGCTATTTCATCTACAGAAACTTTATGTTTTAATATATGGAAGAGACCCCAGTGCTGTTCTTTTTCAATTTCTCTTGTTACTCTTGTTTACTTCTCCACATGTACTTTAAAACCAGTTCTTCTAGTACCAAAATAAACAAAAGCAAAACTTAAAAAAAGCACTTTTATGAGATCACATTATATTAATACATAAACTTAGAAAGACTGAACATTTTTAAGATAGTCATCGTATACAAGAACATAGTGTCTTTCTTTTTACTTGTTCTAGAACCTATAATAGTATAATTTCCTGATAATTACCTTAAGAGAGAGGGAAGAAAAAAAAAAGTGGCATTTACCAGATTTAAGAAAAGTCAAAATTACACTTTTTTTTTTTTTGAGATGGAGTTTTGCTCTTGTTGCCCAGGCTGGAGTGCAATGGCGCCATCTCGGCTCACTGCAACCTCCACTCCTGGGTTCCAGCAATTCTCCTGCCTCAGCCTCCCAAGTAGCTGGGATTACAGGCATGCGCCACCAAGCCCAGCTAATTTTGTTTTTTTTTTTTTTTAATAGTGATGGGGTTTCTCCATGTTGGTCAGGCTGGTCTTGAACTCCCGACTTCAGGTGATCCATCCACCTCGGCCTCCCAAAGTGCTGGGATTACAGGCATGAGCCACCGCGCCCAGCCCAAAATTACACTTGTTAACAAAAGGAATGTGTATAGGATCTAATGAAGTTCTTCTTTTCAAGGCACTTCATGATCAACTTACCATTAAACCTACTCCATCTCACTGTTATTTTGCTATTTCTTAGAAACAATGAAGGTGTACTAACAGAGAATACATATATGGTTTTTTCAAGCATTTTCAGTATCTTTATTATTGAATTTTAATAAAAATTCCCTGGCATTTAAAAATACATACATATTCATTATAAGGAGGAGAACAATCTCTATAGTTCTATGACCCCAAAATAGCCATAGTTAACATACTGCTTAATCAATGTTATTATATTGGTTAATAGATTATATCCTTATTATATATAAATCACATATTTATAAGCATAGTTTTTCTGTGTAGTATATGTACTACATAGAAATATATAATGATATATATTTATAAGCATAGTTTTCTTAGTTTCATATATTTGTAATCATAATGTATATAAAATCTTATGTCTTATTTTTCATTTTATATTCACTATAACCCTTAATTCCAGGTCAGCAAAGAAAGACTAGATCTTCAATAACTGTCTGAACAACAGCAGAGAAAGACTAGATCTTCAATAAATGTCCATTTAAATAAAAGTAAATTTCTTGCCTCACAAATACACAAAACAAAATAACAGAAAGATAAAAGACTTGAAGGTAAGAATTAAAACACACACACAAAAAGGAAAAATACACATTAACAATCAAAAAAAGACCAAAATAAAAAAGCAAATTTCACTGGCAATAACTTATTGTCAAGTAACATTTACTCAAAAAGTCAATTAAATAAAGAAAGTGAGTCCACCTGCTTGGCCATGGCTAGCTTCTTCTGTAGGTATTCTATCTGCTCCTCCACTGCCCGGATCTTCCTCAAGGCATCCTCATCAGCCATTTTCTTGTTCTCTTTCTTCTCTTTATCTTCCAGATCCTTGAGTCTTTGCCTTAGATCTTCCAACTATAAGAGGAAAGGAATTGCACAAAAATAAAAAGTTATAACACATTTTCAAAAATCAATTAATACTGTGCAAAGATAGAAGGTTCATAATACCAAAAGAGTCTTTACAGAATTATAGAACAAGGTACATAATATACTAAAACATTACATAACACCATCTGTTTTAACATCACTCCATTCTACTATGACATGCTTCTATAAGCAACACTTTTGAGAAGTGCACAGGTAACTTTCTTTAGAATAGTGGTTCCCATCCTTTTTTTTAGGCCTCAAAATTTTAAGAGCATAAGACATTCCTCCCAAAAGTAATGAAAAAGATTATCCCTGTAGCAATGAATTACATAGGAAAAACAAGGAATACATACTTTGGAAAGCCTACTCATAACCCCAGTAATTCAGATATATTTTACCATCCTATGGAGAGTTTTAAAATCTCTACTTCAGATGGTCTTTGAAAAGGCAGAAAATGTTGCACTTAAACACTTATTTTAAAGATAAAGAAAGAAATTATATCGTTGGCAAGTATAAAGGAAAATCCCACAAATGAAGATTTTAACCAGAAGGACAGGTAATAGCAGACTAGAATACCTCTGCCTTAGACTTCTTCTCAGCTGCCATCAGCTGAACTTTGTCTCTCTGTTCCTTTGGGGCAGAACGGTACATATCCAGCAATAGTTTCATCTCCTTTTGGCTCTCCTGTGCCTTCCTATGACAGGCGTAGTAGAGGGAGGGGAACAATGTAATAAGAAAATAAAGGTCATCAGAGCAAGGGAATTTTGATTGAGCAGAATATTTTAAAACAGTTTCA